>NT_187533.1:0-173649 GCF_000001405.40 Homo sapiens
GAATTCAGGTGTAAAGAAAAACAACAGGCATTCAAGAAATACTGTACCCCTGAGCTCTTCTTGAAAAGCCCATTGACGGTGAAATGCTGTTAGTTAAAAGGGGAATCACAGTGGAGATTTCAGGAATGGAGAGTGCATGCTTAATCAGCTGGTGTATATACATTAGAAGTATTTAAATATAGAGCTAATAACAAAATGGTGTTAGGAATTACACATGCAAAATAGAATGTAAAGATTATTATCCTGAACAGTATAAAATAATGGCAGTAAAAACCAGGAGGTGTCTAAGAAAGTCAGGTGTCAGAAAAATTAGGTGGGGAAAGTCACACCTTTCATAAAAGGGATATATACTTAAATATAACCAACTTTATGTTTCATAATCTCTAAAAGGAATTCCTTAGGAAATATTTCTGTTATGAAAATACAAGATTCATCTGGTCATTCACTTTCCTTTCTATTTAACTTTTCTTTAAATTGTACTAAAGTTAATTGTTTTATAAAGAATTTCTATACTATGATTCTGTTATTAGGATGCATTTCTTCTATCAGTATATATACTTAATGGGTGTCTGCAATCTTATTTATTTAGAAGACTGAGTATTGAGGCAAGGGAAGTACTTTTCTATGTTACTTGAATGCTTTGTAATAAGCCATGTATCATTATTTAAAAAAAAAACAAAACCTTAAGCTTACCTGCCATTTTTAACCATATTTAATTCTCAGTAATAGAAATATGGATGTGGATTATTTTCTTTATGCTTTTCTATATTTTTTAAAAAATGGGGGTGGAAAGTAATTTTAAAAATTCTATTAGTCTTTCACAAAATAGAGTAATCCTTAAACATCAGTGGCTATTCCTTACAACATGCAAACTTTTTCTGTGAAAAGTCGGGTAATATTTTAGGCTTACAGGCCATAAGATCTCAGTTACAAGCATTGACCTCTGCCATTGTAGTGCAAAAACAACCAAATGTAGATGAATGGGTGTGGCTGTGTTCCAATAAAATGTTATTGACAAAAACAGCTTTTGTAGTTTGCCAACCCTTGCTTTAAAACATGTTTGCTAAAGTGTTTTCATAAAGCAGGGATAGCTTACAACTCAATTTATCTATTAGTGTATGGTTTATAGCCTCAATGTGTGAAAGGTATTCTAGTTCTATTTGTTACCATTGCTCCCTAGATGCTGCATAACATGAAAGGACAGTTTGCTGAGCATCTTCTTGGAGCTGGATTTGTAAGCAGTAGAAATCCTAAAGATCCAGAATCTAATATAAATTCAGGTACAGCAGGAAACACAGTGTAAATAAGTATCTTTTGTCTATTGTATCAGTATTTTACTTTTCTTTTCCCCTCTACCTTCTCACCCCCCATAGATAATGAGAAGATAATTAAAGCTGTCATCTGTGCTGGTTTATATCCCAAAGTTGCTAAAATTCGACTAAATTTGGGTAAAAAAAGAAAAATGTAAGCATTGAAGATTATTATTAATTACTCGTAATTCTCTTCTTAAACTTTTGAAATCTGCTCATGTAACAAGGCTTATATTATAAATTTGTTCTTATTCATATGTGGGTTATATTCTTGTTCTTTTAATCATTTCAGAGAAGGTGAACTGTTTAGCCATTGGTATCACTTTCCCTCACAACACATCCTGGAATCACCTCTTTGATAACCCATTATTCACAAAGAATGCTACCACATGATACCAGTGTAAATATTAGAAGAGCCAGCCTGCTAGTAAATACCAGTGGCTGGATAAAAATTGCTTAGAGTAGATTTTATTTCAGAAACTTTTTTCCTCTTGCCTTATAAATGGATAACTTAGCTCTTTGAATAACATTGTGATTTCACTATTTTGAGAAATAAAGTGTAATAATATATTTACAGGTAGCCTCAGTAGTAATTGGAGACAACAGTGAAGCATGAGCTAGAATGAGCTCATTCTAGCTAAAGGATACAGAGAAACTAAGAGTCACAAATGGCCAGTAGTGTGGTTGCTGCTATTTTGGAAGACACTCTGTATTAGAATTATGATTGAATCATTAAAATAGTCAGTGACCCAGTGCATGAGTTTTTAATTTGATAGATGTGTCTTAAGGAAGTAATTTCAAATGTTTTCTAACAGCTATATTGTAAATAATATAGATTTCTAGTAGCCATGGGAAAATTGTGGTTTTATAATACTGTAATGCATCTCCATAGGTGGGCATTAAAACAGTCATTGTGTAGTAACATGTAAAGTATTTAAACTGATGTTAAATGAAAGTTGGATATTCTAGAATTATAAACATGAAAAAATAAAGACTTTAAAGATAGGCCAAAGTGCAGACATTGTTCTTGGGCAGTGGTTCTCAACTGGCATGATTTTGCCCCCAAAGGGGACATTGGAAAGTGTCTGGAGATACTTGTGGTTGTCATAACAGTGTGTCAGTAGTACTAAAGTCAAGAAACCCTATTCCAAGGTATAAAGTAATGGGTAGCTGATGAATTTTAATCATTGTGGTTGGATTATTCACATTTTAAGTGACCTAAGTACTTTTTCAAAATAATACTTGGCCAGAAATTTTTTTGTATGTGTGTACCTAACTTTACAGGTAGCTTAACAGTGAGTCACTTTGAAATTCATTTTATTTTCCTCTCTGCCATCCTGGGAGGGCTTTCTGAAAAAATGTAGTTTTCTTTGGACTGGTGCATTGTTTTGGTCCAGACTAGGGGTCAGCAAATTTTGACCTATAGGCCAAAAACTTGTTTTTGTCCTTTTTTTGTTGGAACACAAACATGTTGTTTTCATGTTGTCTATTCTGCTTTCCTTCTACACTAGCAGAGTTGGACAGAAATTATAGAGCCCCAAATATAGACCCTAAAATATTTACTCTCTGGTCCTGTATAGAAATTTGCTGGGCCAGGCACAGTGGCTCACACCTGTAATCCTAGCACTTTGGTTGGCTGAGGCTGTTAGATTACTTGAGCCCAGGAGGTGGAGGTTGCAGTGAGTCAAGATCACACCACTGCACGTTGAGAGATCATGCTACTGCAGTCCAGCCTGGGTGACAGAACGAGACCCTGTCTCAAAAAAAAGAAAAAAGAAATTTGTGAAGTTCTACTGCTCTAGTTATGCAGGGTGGCAGGATGGCATTGGTAAATTGACTTGAAGTGAGAAAAAATAATTTCTGGTTTTATTCTAAGTATTTAAAACTGTAAATTCATAACCATGATTCATGATTTTGATTACAAGTCTTATGAATTCTTAGAACTTCAGAAGTGGCCGGGTGTGGTGGCTCACACCTGTAATCCTGGCACTTTGGGAGGCCAAGGTAGGCGGACCACCTGAGGTCAGAAGTTTGAGACCAGCCTGGCCATCGTGGTGAAACCCCATCTCTACTAAGAATACAAAAACTAATTGGGTATGGTGGTGGCACATGCCTGTAATCCCAGCTACCCAGGAGGCTGAGGCAGGAGAATCGCCGGAACCCGGGAGGCGGAGGCTGCAGTGAGCTGAGATTGGGCCACTGCACTCCAGTCTGGGTGACAGAGCAAGACTCCGTCTCAAAAAAAAAAAAAAAAACTTCGAAAGAGACACTCGTAAAAACAAATAGGAAAGATTAGTGGATTATTAGCTTTTATGCTGTTAGTTAATACAGGTAATTAACATTAACTATTTAAAAATAAATTATTAAACATCTCCCTGTTGAATAATACTAAAGACTTTTACAAATTGAGATAAAATGTGTATGACTATCAAAAAAAAAATGACCTAGGAATTGAGAGATTGAATTAGAACTGTCAACATGAATTTAAACAGAATTCTTAACTTTTCATTTTTTATTCATCTGGGTCATACTCTGTAAAATTTTTAAGTTGATAATTTTACAGTTATTTTGTAAATCAAGGGCTGTTTATCAGTATTATGATTGTCATAGTAAAATGTATAAACTCTTGGTATGAATCACTTAATTATTTTAGGTACTTTTTTGTTATTTATTCTTCAGTGGTATAGTGTGCATTAACATTAAGGAAAAGAATATTCTGCCATTTTTCTAAAATGTTGAGTAATTATACCTGCAAGAAGAAGATTAGTTACATGATTTAAATTATTCATACTGATAGCATTTTTTCATATATTTTTAAGGAAATTATGCTCTGTCCTCAAATATAAATATATTTTTTTGCAAAAATAAACTGAATTATTCTCTGGAATTTTTTTAGATTCCGGGATTTGTTTGGTTTTTACCAAGCTCTTCTATCAGTTTTTCAAGTAGTGTAAAAAAAGAAAATCCTCTAGAAGACTTCTTTTTAACAAACTGCATTTTAACTTTTTTTAAAGGGTAAAAGTTTACACAAAAACCGATGGCCTGGTTGCTGTTCATCCTAAATCTGTTAATGTGGAGCAAACAGACTTTCACTACAACTGGCTTATCTATCACCTAAAGATGAGAACAAGCAGTGTAAGTGAACATTTAAAATAATTAAGGATCTGATTATCAGTCTCATTGTATTTTTATGATTGTGTAGTTTTAACAATTATATACAAAATTTTTTTTTTGTTGTGTCTTATTCCTGTGACGTGAGTAACTTTTTCCCTCTAACAAATAACCTATTCTTTTAATTTTCAGGTCTGTAATGATGGATCTTTGTATTTTAATTAGTTAGGACAGTTATTTGATTGCATAATTTTCTTTCAGAACTTGCTTTCAAGAAATATTGGCATATTTTATGGTGTACAGGAGTTTACATTGTATAGAAAGTTTTGTTAGCATGTCAGTATACCTTATAAGTATTGTTCAGCATGTTGAGATTCTGTTTATTTATATTTTTCTCTTTAGAACAGTAATTTGAGATGATTTATAAAAAACTGGATAAAAATAACTTCGGCAACATTAGTGTTTTGCTTTTGTCACTCAGAAAATATTTTGTTCAGAGTAGTGCTTAGTTTAAACTAAAAAATATTAAAATACCTATGTTCTCTGAATAATGAAGATGGCTCATTTAAAATGGTATTTCTTACAAATCTCTGTAATTACAATAGAAGGTTAATATTTTAGAAGGAAGATACTCATTAATTAATACTGGTAATATTGTTGAATTTATATAGTAATCTTTTCAGACTCCTGAATGTATTAATTCACTTTAATTTTCATTACAGATATACTTGTATGACTGCACAGAGGTTTCCCCATACTGTCTCTTGTTTTTTGGAGGTGACATTTCCATCCAGAAGGATAACGATCAGGAAACTATTGCTGTAGATGAGTGGATTGTATTTCAGTCTCCAGCAAGAATTGCCCATCTTGTTAAGGTGACTGACTTTATGTGATTATCTTAAATCTACATGTAAGTCAGCATGTGGTCATGTGGTTTTGTTCTAACTGTTAAATAGATTAACATTTCTTGCTCTATTTCAGCAGAGCAAATAATTTTGAAAAAATGATTCCTGGTTTTTCTGAATTGTGTTTTGAGGTGGTAACAGACCAGCCATTCTAAATGGCTCAGTGTGATTGCAGTGTGAATTTTAACTGCACTTTAGTTATTCACTCATAACCACACTTTAGTTGATTGCTCACTAAATGTTTTAGCTTTTGAGCCATCGCTTGTGAAACTCCTTGTATCAGGTAAATTAGTTTCATTTATTATGTTATTTGGTAATATATCTGCCTTTGTTGAACATGTATAATTTTTCCAACCTTAGGAATTAAGAAAGGAACTAGATATTCTTCTGCAAGAGAAGATTGAAAGTCCTCATCCTGTAGACTGGAATGACACTAAATCCAGAGACTGTGCAGTACTGTCAGCTATTATAGACTTGATCAAAACACAGGAAAAGGCAACTCCCAGGAACTTTCCGCCACGATTCCAGGATGGATATTACAGCTGACAGCTTTTCAGGGGTGGTCTGAAAAGCCAGTTTGACAGCCATTCTTCATCATTGTTTAAATTTTGGCTGGATGCCAAACCCTGGGACATGAACAATTTTCATGTGTAAGGTAGAAGCCTTCAGTAGGTAGTAAAGACTTAATGTGCATGACTTGATGTTATATGTAGAGATATATATATATATATATATATACCATAAAAGCAATATGTTCTCTGATCATATACTCTGCTGTGGTCATGCCCACTCTTTGGGAGTATATTCCCTTTATATATATTGAGTATTGTACCACTTGAGAAATTCCTTTGTTCTGTTATACAAAATTAATCTTTCTGCTCATAATGATTGATGATACCACCAGTAAAAATAGGATGTTTACCCCAAAACAAGTGTCAATTAAGAATTTGAACACAACCACATTTTTTAAAATGAAACTTCTATCGGAAGTAAATTAATTTGTTGTAATAAAGTCCAGTATTTAATAAAATGTACAATGTTAAATCTCAGCCAACCTCTTGGATTGGTTTCTACATTTTCACCTATGGCTTGGTTCATTTGATATTTTTACTATTTTTAAAACACGTGCCCTTTTTATATCACCCTGTGCCTCATAATACAGCAATTGAGAGCACGGTCTGGAGCCTGATTACCTCAGTTCCAGTCTCAGCTCTGTCAGTTAGTCAGTGTCTTGGCTTCTCTCCTTTTTCCTTATCTTGTAAGATACAGTTGGCCCTTCATATCCATGCATTCCACATCTGTGGATTCAAACAACTGTGGATAGAAGATATTTGGGGAAAAAAAGGATGGTTGTGTCTATACTGAACATGTGCAGACTTTTTTCCTTGTCATTCCCTAAACAATACAGTTTAACAGCTATTTATATAGTATTTACATTGTATTAGGTATTATAAATAATCTAGAGATGACTTAAAGAATATGGGAGGTTGTGCCTAGGTAACATGCAAATACTACGCCATTTTATTATAAAAGACTTGAGCATCCATGGATTTAGGTATTTGAGGGGTTGGGGTTGGAAACCAGTCCCCCACAGATACTGAGGGACAACTGTACATGTAACAGTTGTGAGGATGAAGTACATTAATACATGTAAAGCACATAGGCTAGTGCCTGTACTCTCTGAATCTTAGTTGTTATTTGTCCCTGAAATATTTTCGTAAATGTCTAACAATCTATTATATTACACTTTTTATTTTATTGCTACTTATCTTCTTCGCCAAGGAATAGTGTAACAACACATGCTGTACATTTTCAGCCCTATCAGATTGTGATAAATACTGTTGGTTGCCGGCCAGCAACTATTTTGTCCCTCCCTTCTTGCTTGCTTATTCTGGTGTTCCCTTCTGTGCAGCTCTGTGTCCAGGTATGTTGGACCCTTTCCCTAAGGGTGAATCCTGCTGTTCTAAATGAATCACATGTGGTCTTATCCCCCTTATAAGTAATTGATAAGGCATGAGTACATAAACATGTCCTAGTGAATGGCAGCTGAGAAGTGATCTTCAAGGGGGTGTCTGAAAAATGTTTTACTCACTAATAGGCTTAGAGGAGGAAATCCTGCTCTCTCTGGACATTGTCTTTTCTGACTCTGATAGTTGGAACTGCTGCAGCCAACTAATGATCACAAGGAGACACGGACTCAGACTGAGGTTAGCTCAGTGGAAAGATAGAACTCACCAGAGCCTTTGATAATGCCGGTAAGCTTCAGAATTAACCCATTCTAGAGCTGCTTTACATGTGGACTTATGTTGATATAATAAAAACCCTTCAATTGTTTAAGCCACTTTTAATAGGATATTGTTAGTTTTTTGTTGGTTTTTTGTTTTGTTTTGTTTTGTTTTTTGTTTTTTGGAGACAGTGTCTTGCCCTGTCACCCAGGCTGGAGTGCAGTGGTGTGATCTTGGTTCACTGCAGCCTCGACTTCCTGGGTTCAAGTGATCCTTCTGCCTCAGCCTCCCAAATAGCTGGGACTATAGGCATGCATCACCACACCCAGCTAATTTCTGTATTTTTTGTAGAGACACCGTTTCACCATGTTGCCCAGGCTGGTCTCAAAACTCCTGTGCTCAAGCAGTCTGCCCGCCTTGGCTTCCCAAAGTGCTGACATTACAGGTATGAGCCACTGCACCCGGTCCCTAGTAGGGTATTTTTAACTTGGCAAAAAGGGTATTAATCAGAAACATACACTATCCATCACTGAGTATTATACTCTTGATTTTGCAATGTAAGAGTTTTAACCTATTTGTCTGACAGAAGGTGTAAAAGTGCTGGACATGCTGCAGAAAGAAACAGGAAAAGCATCTTGCTGCACTCCAAAGAATGCAAATTTTAATGTGCCTTCCAATAAATGCAAGGAAACCGAAAGAGTTAATAGTATCATACAATGACTGGGATGTATTGATAATGCTACAGTGATCCATTAACAGCACTTGTTCAGGTACTGCTCCCAATCCTGGGAATGTGTGTTACCTGTTATGTCTCAAATCCTTTATCTTGGCTGTTCTTCTAAAAGTGATCTGTCTGTCATTGAATGCTGGCATTAGAGTCATGTCACAATATTAGAGCATACTGGTTTTGCCTCTAACGTCGAGGTGACCATCTGGTCTTTCTTGCTCTGTAAGAGTTTCTGTTTGTGCTTTTTTTTCCCTTACTTTTATTATCCAGTTTAAATCCAGTCAGTTGGCCAAAATGGTCTTGGAAGAAAGGATTTAGAGATTCTGTAAAAAAGATTATTAGTTGGTTCTGTGTTTGCAAACCAGTATGTAATTCCCATATGAATGGGGAAAATGTTCCTGAGGAATTATTTAATTGATGAGGCATTCACAGAGATTAAAGCAGTTATTGTTACCTCCAATTTATGTCTTCTGCACAGCTGATTAGGTTGGACATTTTAATCCAAGGTGCTACTTACATTCTGTTTCTTTTGTTTACAAAATAGGGCATTACTGAGTAGAAAATACATTCCAGGTCTAAGAACTGTTTGTTCTTTAGTGGATTTTAAAGAATAAGACATTAAATTAAGAAGGAAAATCTGTTTGATTCATCATTTTGAGTAATGCAGAGAATAACTCTTAAAAAAAAAACCTGAAACAGAAACTTTCAGGAAAAAAACAAAAGAAATTAAACTACTGAATAATCTTTCAAAAGCATCGTTGAACAGTGAGCACATGTGATGCCTTCCCAATTAATTAATTTGGGCAAAAGCTCTAGATAAACTTACACCAATTGTTGCAAGGCATTCTCTATTACTGCATTTTTAAAACAAAGTCCTCCCCTAAAAGTTATGAATTATACAAAAGCTTTAGGAGGAATTTTAGTACTCCTTTACCCAAAATAAATAGTGGTAAATTTCCTTCTGTTCTTAGCTCTGAGTTTGTATTTATTTATAAGTCATTGTGATCATGTATACTTATATATTTTTAATATGCTAATTGCTTTTAAATGGGATTTTTGTTCTGATTTTAAAATAATACATCCTCCCTGGACAATATTTGGAAATGTAGCAAAGTAAATCATGTTACCATTGTTCCATTTTGATATATATAAACTTTAGGTATTATTTTATATATAATAAATTTTAAGATATTATATACAATAAAATTAACCAATTTAAGTATATGATTCAGTGAATTTTGTCAAACATATAGTAGTGTAATTACCACCACCACAATCTTGATACAGAACTTTTTTTTCCCCAGAGATGGAGTTTCGCACTGTCACCCAGGCTGGAATGCAATGGCGCAATCTCGGCTCACTGCAACCTTCGTCTGCCCGGGTTCAAGCAATTCTCTGGCCTCAGCCTCCTGAGTAGCTGGGATTACAGGCACGCGCCGCCATGCCCGGCTAACTTTTGTATTTTTAGTAGAGATGGGGTTTCACCATGTTGGCCAGGCTGGTCTCGAACTCCTGACCTCATGATCCACCTGCCTCGGCCTCCCAAAGTGCTGGGATTACAGGCGTGAACCACCACACCCAGCTGATATAGAACATTTGTATCACCTAAAAATTTCCCTTTTACCCCTTTGTAGTCAATCCCTCACCCCCACTTCTATCCCCTCGAAACCCATTGATCTGCGTTTTGTCACTTTTCGTTTTGCCTTTTCTAGAATTTCAAATAACCAGTCTTTTGTGTCCAGCTTCTTTCACTTAATGTAATACTTTTGAGATACTGATATTGTTACATGTATTAGTAGGTAGTTCCTGTTTTATCTTCTATTCAGTAGTATTTGCATTGTATAGTTATACCACAGTTTGTTAATTCATTTACCAGTTGATGGACATTTGAGTTGTTTTCAGTTTTTTTGCTGTTATGAATAAAGCTGCTATGAACATATGTATATAAGTCTTTGTGTGGTTATATGTTTTCATTTGTCTTGGGTAAATACCTAAGATTAAGGTTGTTGTATTATAGTAAGTGTGTTTGTATAAGAAACTGCTAAACTGTTTTCAGAATTTGCTGAAATTTTACATTCCCAACAGCAATGTGTGTTGGGGGGGTCAGAGTATTCCACATCCTTGCCAGTACTTGGTATTTTTAGCTGTCGTTTTAATTTTAGCCTTTAGTGGATGAGGAGTCCTGTCCCATTATGGTTTAATTTTTGTTTCTAAAATGATTAATGATGAGCATCTTTTCATGTTGTTTGCTTTTTCCTTAGTTATCTTATGTATTTCTGTTTGGGTTTTGATTTTTCATCTCATGTCAAATGATTGGAGTTTTAAGGATATATCTGACTACGGAGAAGGAAGATTACTAATTAATTTTAGAGATACAAAAAGTTGTTATTTACATTCCTTGAGATTTATAATGGCCAGATGTGTTACTCTTGACTTGGTTGGTAAAGTGTAAAGAGTTAAGCCAGTGTTATTAAGTGCCAGGAGAGACTAGCACCAGTTTTATATAGTTATGAAGGCAAGAGGTGTATTCATCATGAGGTGAAGAATGGGACATAAGAAAAAATATTTATTAGTATTGGGAAAGTCATTGGAGATAAGGAAAACAGCTGATATGGAAGCACTGTAGAGGCGATCTACTGTGGATGATAGAGAACTTTTAAATTGTGACTACCTTTTTTTTTCTGGTTCTTAAATTTGATTCATATCTTAATGGTCTGGTATAAATTTTTGAGTTGTATTTTTCTATTTCTGAGTCCTTATGTAGTATATTATGTTACCTTTACACAGTGAACATCATGGTTGGGAATAAAATTAACTTTAGCAAAGCTTTAATTTAATGAAAAAGTGATTCCTTGGTGACTTTTATCTTTTAGGCCCTTTTAAATATTTCAATACTTAATCTTTCCCATAGCTTCCATTCACCTCACTTTTCTCTTAATGGCTGTTTCTCCTGTTAAATGAGAGAGTTTGATTATTTTTACTTGTTCTGGAAGCCAATTTTTTTCTTGTTTATTCAAGCAAAGGCAAAACAGACCTATCTCTAACGTTTTTGTGGTGTCTGAAGTAAGAATATAAATGGAAGCCAACATACTAGATCTCTAAATATTTTAAAATTTTAAATTAGTTTAACAAACTTAAATAAAACGTCCTTTTAGCCAGGTGTGGTGGCTCATTCCTGTAATCCCAGCCGTTTGGAAGGCCAAGGTGGGTGGATCATTTGAGCCCATGAATTCAAGACCAGCCTGGGCAACATGGTGAAACCCTGTCTTTACAAAAATTACAAAAATGAGCCAGGCATGGTGGCATGTGCCTGTAGTCTCAGCTACTCAGGAGGCTGAGATGGAAGGATTGCTTAAGCCTGGGAGGTCAGGGCTGCAGTGAGCCACTGCACTCCAGTCTGGGCAGCAGAGCAAGACCCTGTCTCAAAAAACTCCTTTTGACAGATACACATTAATAATGACAAAATAAAAAATGGCATAAAACAATATTGAAGATGACTTTTAGCCATAGTTTCTTATTTTTTCGAAATATTCTTTTTTGCATCAATTGGCACAGTAACCATATGTTTTTTTCTTTAGCTTGTTAATATTGTAGATTGCTGTCTTAGTCATTTTCTGTTGCTGTAACAGAATATCAAAGACTGGGTAATTTATAAAGAAAACACATTTTTTTCTTACAGTTCTTAAGTCCAAGACCAAGGTATCAGCATCTGGTGAAGGCCTTCTTGCTGTGTCACAAATGGGGACATCACATGGCTAGAGGGCAAGAGTGTGTGTCATCTCAAGTCTCTTATAAAGCCACCAGTCCCATCATGGAGGCTTCACCCTGATTAACTTAGCTAAGCTTAAAATTACCTCACAGAGGGCCCACCTCCAATCAACATATGAATTTGGGGATTAAGTTTCCAATGCATGAAATTTATGGGACACATTCAAACCATAGCAGTCACATCAATTGATTTTTAAATATTGAGTAATCCTTGCATTTCTTTAATAAACCCCGCTTGGTCTCAGTGTGTAATTTTTTAAATATATTGCTGGATAGGATTCGGCAGTGTCTTGCTGAAGATTTTTGTCTCTCTATTCAGGAAAGATACAAATCTATAGTAGCTTTTGTTTTAATAATGTAATGCTGGCCTCATAAAATATGTTGGAAGCTGTTGTCTTCCTCTTACGTTTTCTGGAAGACATTATGCATAATTGCCATTAATTCTTTAAATGGTTGTAGAATTTTCCAACGAAACCATTTGCACTTGGAGATTTTTTTTCAGAAATTATTTTAAATTGTGAGTTTATTTAGTAATTATGAGATTACTCAATGTCTTGGTAGTTTGTGGTTTTTATTGGTTCATTTTCTCTAAGTTGTTGAATTTATGTATGTAAAGATTTTTTGTATTGATCAGAAGCCTGGGAAGCAGTAAAAAATTTTTGAGTTTTTTGTAACGCCCCTTTATTATTTTTTTAATGTCTGTAATGTGGGATCTTTAATGATATATTCATTTTTCATTGATTTTTCTCACGTATTCTGTTTTCAATTTTATTGATTTCTACACTTAACCTTATTTAGTTCTTACTGCTCTTTTGAGTTTATTTTGTCTCATTTCTTGAGGTGAAAGATTAGATTTCTTTTCTAATACAAGTTTTTTGTGCTATAAATTCTCTAAGCAGTGCTTTAGCTGCATCCTATGTATGTTGATATTTTGTATTTTCATGTCATTTAGCCAATGTATTTTTTATTTCCCTCTTTATATATTTTTCTCTTTAATAAATAGATTAGTTGTGAGTGTGCTGTTATAAGTTCCTAGTGTTTGGAGATTTTCTTGTCCATTATTAATTTTTAGCTTGATTCCATTATGGTCAGAGAAAATACTTTGTATGATTTCAGTCCTTGTAAATTGGTCAGTTTGTTGTATGACTCAGAATATGGTTATCTTGGTGAATATCCCTTAGCTATATTTAAAAAATGGATAATCTTATGTTATTGGATAGTACACTGTAAATGTCAATTATATCCCATGTGTTGGTGTTCTGTTCTATACTCTTTTTTTCTTTTTTTTTAAGTTCTAGGATACATGTGCACAACGTACAGGTTTGTTTCGTATGTATACATGTGCCATGTTGGTGTGCTGCATCCATTAACTCATCATTTACATTAGGTATTTCTTCTAATGCTATCCCTCCTCTCTTCCCCCACCCTGCGACAGGCCACCGTGTGTGATGTTCCCCACCCTGTGTCCAGGTGTTCTTATTGTTCAATTCCCACTTATGAGTGAGAACATGCGGTGTTTGGTTTTCTGTCCTTGAGATAGTTTGCTCAGAATGATGCTTTCTGGCTTCATCCATGTCCCTACAAAGGACAGGAACTCATCCTTTTTTATGGCTGCATAGTATTCCATGGTGTATATGTGCCACATTGTCTTAATCCAGTCTATCATTGATGGACATTTGGGTTGGTTCCAAGTCTTTGGTATTGTGAATAGTGCCACAATAAACATACATGTGCATGTGTCTTTATAGCAACATGATTTATAATCCTTTGGGTATATACCCAGTAATGGGATGGCTGGGTCAAATGGTATTTCTAGTTCTAGATCCTTGAGGAATCGCCACACTGTCTTCCACAATGGTTGAACTAGTTTACAGTCCCACCAACAGTGTAAAAGTGTTCCTATTTGTCTACATCCTCTCCAGCACCTGTTGTTTCCTGACTTTTTAATGATCGCCATTCTAACTGGTGTGAGATGGTATCTCATTGTGGTTTTGATTTGCATTTCTCAGATGGCCAGTGATGATGAGCCTTTTTTTCATGTGTCTGTTGGTTACATAAATGTCTTCTTTTGAGAAGTGTTTGTTCATATCCTTCGCCCACTTTTTGATGGGGTTGTTTGATTTTTTCTTGTAAATTTCTTTAAGTTCTTTGTACATTCTGGATATTAGCCCTTTGTCACATGGGTAGATTGCAAAAATTTTCTCCCATTCTTTAGGTTGCCTGTTCACTCTGATGGTAGTTTCTTTTGCTGTGCAGAAGCTCTTTAGTTTAATTAGATCCCATTTGTCAATTTTGGCTTTTGTTGCCATTTGGTTTGGTGTTTTAGTCATGAAGTCCTTGCCCATGCCTATGTCCTGAATGGTATTGCCTAGGTTTTCTTCTAGGGTTTTTATGGTTTTAGGTCTAACATTTAAGTCTTTAATCCATCTTGGATTAATTTTTGTATAAGGCATAAGGAAGGAATCCAGTTTCAGCTTTCTTCATATGGCTAGCTAGTTTTCCCAGCACCATTTATTAAATGGGGAATCCTTTCCCCATTTCTTGTTTTTGTCAGGTTTGTCAAAAATCAGATGGTTGTAGGATGTAGTATTATTTCTGAGGGCTCTGTTCTGTTACACTGGTCTGTATCTCTGTTTTGGTACCAGTACCATGCTGTTTTGGTTACTGTAGCCTTGTAGTATAGTTTGAAGTCAGGTAGCATGATGCCTCGAGCTTTGTTCTTTTTGCTTAGGATTGTCTTGGCAATGCAGGCTCTTTTTTGGTTCCATATGAACTTTAAAGTAGTTTTTTTCCAATTCTGTGAAGAAAGTCTTTGGTAGCTTGATGGGGTTGGCATTGAATCTATAAATTACCTTGGACAGTATGGCCATTTTCACCATATTGATTCTTCCTACCCGTGAGCATGGAATGTTCTTTCATTCTGTTTGTGTCCTCTTTTATTTCTTTGAGCAATCATTTGTAGTTCTCCTTGAAGAGGTCCTTCACATCCCTTGTAAGTTGGATTGCTAGGTATCTTATTCTCTTTGAAGCAGTTGTGAATGGGAGTTCACTCATGATTTGGCTCTCTGCTTTTCTGTTATTGGTGTATAAGAATGCCTGTGATTTTTGCGTATTGGTTTTGTATCCTGAGACTTTGCTGAAGTTGCTTATCAGCTTAAGGAGATTTTGGGCTGAGATGATGGGGATTTCTAGATATACAATCATGTCATCTGCAAACAGGGACAATTTGACTTCCTCTTTTCCTAATTGAATACCCTTTATTTCTTTCTCCTGCCTGATTTCCCTGGCCAGAACTTCCAACACTATGTTGAATAGGAGTGGTGAAAGAGGGCATCCCTGTCTTGTGCCAGTTTTCAAAGGGAATGGTTCTAGTTTTTGCCCATTCAGTATGATATTGGCTGTGGGTCTGTCATAAATAGCTCTTATTATTTTGAGATACGTCCCATCAATACCTAGTTTATTGAGAATTTTTAGCATGAAGGGCTGTTGAATTTTGTCAAAGGCCTTTTCTGCATCTGTTGAGATAATCGTGGGTTTTGTCTTTGGTTCTGTTTTATGATGGATTATGTTTATTGATGTGCGTATGTTGAACCAGCCTTGCATCCCAGGGATGAAGCCAACTTGATCGTGGTGGATAAGCTTTTTGATGTGCTGCTGGATTCGGTTTGCCAGTATTTTATTGAGGGTTTTTGCCTCGACTGATCAGGGATACTGGTCTAAAATTCTCTTTTTTTCTTGGGTCTCTGCCAGGCTTTGGTATCAGGATGATGCTGGCCTTATAAAATGAGTTAGGGAGGGTTCCCTCTTCTTCTATTGATTGGAATAGTTTCAGAAGGAATGGTACCAGCTCCTCCTTGTACCTCTGGTAGAATTCGGCTGTGAATCCATCTGGTCCTGGACTTTTTTTTGGTTGGTAGGCTATTAATTATTGCCTCAATTTCAGAACCTGTTATTGGTCTATTCAGGGATTCAACTTCTTCCTGGTTTGGTCTTGGGAGGGTGTATGTGTCCAGGAATTTATCCATTTCTTCTAGATTTTCTTATTTGCGTAGAGATGTTTATAATACTGTCTGATGGTAGTTTGTATTTCTGTGGGATCAGTGGTGATATCCTCTTTGTCATTTTTTATTGTGCCTATTTGATTCTTCTCTCTTTTCTTCTTTATTAGTCTTCCTAGCGGTCTATCAATTTTGTTGATCTTTTCAAAAAGCCAGCTCCTGGATTCATTGATTTTTTTGAAGGGTTTTTTGTGTATATCCTTCAGTTCTGCTCTGATCTTAATTATTTCTTGCCTTCTGCTAGCTTTTGAATGTATTTGCTCTTGCTTCTCTAGTTCTTTTAATTGTGATGTTAGGGTGTCAATTTTAGATCTTTCCTGCTTTCTCTTGTGGGCATTTAGTGCTATAAATTTCCTTCTACCCACTGCTTTAAATGTGTCCCAGAGATTCTGGTATGTTGTGTCTTTGTTCTCATTGGTTTCAAAGAACATCTTTATTTCTGCCTTCATTTCGTTTTTTACCCAGTAATCATTCAGAAGCAGGTTGTTCAGTTTCCATGTAGTTGTGCAGTTTTGAGTGAGTTTCTTAATCCTGAGTTCTAATTTGATTGCACTGTGGTCTGAGAGACAGTTTGTTATAATTTCTGTTCTTTTACATTTGCTGAGGAGTGCTTTACTTCCAAGTATGTGGTCAATTTTGGAATAAGTGTGATGTGGTGCTGAGAAGAATGTGTATTTTGTTGATTTGGGGTGGAGAGTTCTGTAGATGTCTATTAGGTCTGCTTGGTGCAGAGCTGAGTTCAATTCCTGGATATCCTTTTTAACACTCTGTCTCCTTGATCTGTCTAATGTTGACAGTGTGGTGTTAAAGTCTCCCATTATTACTGTGTGGGAGTCTAAGTCTCTTTGTAGGTCTCTAAGGATTTGCGTTATGAATCTGGGTGCTCCTGTACTGGGTGCATATATATTTAGGAGAGTTAGCTCTTCTTGTCGCATTGATACCTTTACCATTATGTAATGGCCTTCTTTGTCTCTTTTGATCTTTGTTGGTTTAAAGTTTGTTTTATCAGAGACTATGATTGCAACCCCTGCTTTTTTTTTATTTTCCATTTGCTTGGTAGATCTTCCTCCATCCCTTTATTTTGAGCCTATGTGTGTTTCTGCAGGTGAGATGGGTCTCCTGAATACAGCACACTGATGGGTCTTGACTCTTTATCCAATTTGCCAGTCTTTTTCTTTTAATTGGGGCATTTAGCCCATTTACATTTAAGGTTAATATTGTTATGTGTGAATTTGATCCTGTCATTATGATGTTAACTGGTTATTTTGCTCGTTAGTTGATGCAGTTTATTCCTAGCATCAATGGTCTTTACAATTTGGCATGTTTTTGCAGTGGCTGCTACCAGTTGTTCCTTTCTACGTTTAGTGCTTCCTTCAGGAGCTCTTGTAAGGCAGGCCTGGTGTGACAAATCTCTCAGCATTTGCTTGCTGTAAAGGATTTTATTTCTCCTTCACTTATGAAGCTTAGTTTGGCTGGATATGAATTTCTGGGTTGAAAATTCTTTTCTTTAAGAATGTTGAATATTGGCACCCACTCTCTTCTGGCTTGTAGAGTTTCTGCTGAGAGATCTGCTGTTAGTCTGATGTGCTTCCCTTTATGGTAACCTGACCTTTCTCTCTGGCTGCTCTTTAAGATTTTTTTTTCCTTCATTTCAACCTTGGTCAATGTGAGAATTATGTGTCTCAGGGTTGCTCTTCTCGAGGAGTATCTTTGTGGCATCTGTGTGTTTCCTATATTTGAATGTTGGCCTGCCTTGCTAGGTTGGGGAAGTTCTCCTGGATAATATCCTGCAGTGTTTTCCAACTTGGTTCCATTCTCCCCGTCACTTTGAGGTACACCAATCAAACATAGATTTGGTCTTTTCACATAGTCTGATATTTCTTGGAGGTTTTGTTTGTTTCTTTTTACTCTTTTTTTCTCAACTTCTCTTCTTGCTTTATTTCATTCTTTTGATCGTCAATCACTGATACCCTTTCTTCCACTCAATCGAATCGGCTACTGAAGCTTGTGCATGTGTCACGTAGTTCTCGTGCCATGGTTTTCAGCTCCTTCAGGTCATTTAAGAACCTCTCTGCACTGTTTATTCTAGTTAGCCATTCGTCTAATCCTTTTCAAGGTTTTTAGCTTCCTTGCGATGGGTTCGAACATCTTCCTTTAGCTCGGGAAAGTTTGTTATTACCGACTTTCTGAAGCCTACTTCTCTCAACTCATCAAAGTCACTCTTTGTCCAGCTTTGTTCTGTTGCTAGCGAGGAGCTGCAATCCTTTGGAGGAGAAGAGGTGCTCTGGTTTTTAGAGTTTTCAGCTTTTCTGCTCTGATTTCTCCCCCTTTGTGGTTTTATCTACCTTTGGTCTTTGATGATGGTAACCTACAGGTGGGGTTTTGGTGTGGATGTCATTTTTGTTGATGTTGATGCTATTTCTTTCTCTTCGTTAGTTTTCCTTCTAACAGGACTCTCAGCTGCAGGTCTGTTGGAGTTTGCTGGACGTCCACTGCAGACCCTGTTTGCCTGGGTATCACCAGCAGAGGCCGCAGAACAGCAAATGTTGCTGCCTGATCCTTCCTCTGGAAGCTTTGTCTCAGGGGGGCACCCACCTGTATGAGGTGTCAGTAGGCCCCTACTAGGAGGTGTCTCCCAGTTAGGCTACTCAGGGGTCAGGGACCCACCTGAGGAGGCAGTCTGTCTGTTCTCAGATATCAAACTCAGTGCTGGGAGAACCACTATTCTCTTCAAAGCTGTCAGACAAGGATGTTTAAGTCTGCAGAAGTTTCTGCTGCCTTTTGTTTAGCTATTCCCTGTCCCCAGAGGTGAAGTCTACAGAGGCAGGCAGACCTCTTTGAGCTGTGGTGGGCTCCACCCAGTTCAAGCTTCCTGGCCGCTTTGTTTACCTAGTCAAGCCTCAGGAATGGCAGACGCCCCTCCCCAGCTTCGCCACCGCCTCGCAGTTTGATCTTGGACTGCTGTGCTAGCAGTGAGCAAGGCTCCATGGGCTTGGGACCCTCTGAGCTAGGCATGGGATATAATCTCCTGGTGTGCCATTTGCTAAAACCATTGGAAAGGTGCAGTATTAGGGTGGGAGTGTTCCGATTTTCCAGATACTGTCTGTCATGGCTTCCCTTCGCTAGGAAATGGAATTCCCCAACCCCTTGTGATTCCCCAGTGCAGCGATGCCCCGCCCTGCTTCCCCTCACACTCTGTGGGCTGCACCCACTGTCCAACAAGTCCCAGTGAGATGAACCCGGTACCTCAGTTGGAAATGCAGAAATCACCCGTCTGTGTCGCTCACGCTGGGAGCTGTAGATTGGAGCTGTTCCTATTCGGCCATCTTCGAAATCCTGTTCTATACTCTTAACACTATATTGTCATTTGTCTATGTTTTCCTTTTAGTTCTGTTTTGTACTTCATATATTCTAGTTCATGTATTCTGTCCTAGTTTGTACTTCATGTATTTTAAAGCTGTATTACTTGCTGCATACATATTTAAGATTTTTATGTCTTCTTGGCATACTGACCCTTGTATCGTTATATATTGTCCCCCTCTGTGCCTGATAATTCCCTTTGCTCTGAAGGCTTTGTCTGATATTAGTATAGCCATTTCAGCTTTTTTTTTTTTTTTTTGGATTGGTATTTGCTTGACATGTTTTTCCCTTCATTTATTCTAAACCTACCTATATTTATTGTATTTGAAATGTGTTTTGAATGGATAGCATATGGTCCGGTAATTTTTAAAGTTTCTGTGAATCTGTCTTCTAATTACAATTTAGACACTCAAATTTTATATATTCATTCATGTTAGGAGTGAAGTCTGCTGTTCTATTTTTGCTTTCTTTATATATTTTTTTCTTTCCTGTTTCCCTTTTCCTGCCTTCCTGTGGGTACCTGATTTTTTTCTTATTTTTTACTGTTCTGTTTTGCCTTGTCTATTGTGTTTTTAAATATATCACTTCGTATACATTTTTTGTTGCTCAGTGGATTACAGTATACATATATAACATCAGTTGACTAGTATCAACAGTTTGACACTTCTAGTGAAATGTAAGAACTTTACAGCCACTTAGGTATTTAGCTTACTGCTTTATAATTTATTTTCTTAAATAATTCCTTTACATACATTGACAACCATGTCAGATAATATAATTTTGCTTTCAGCCATCTCACATTTTTAAAACTCAAGGATAGCCTATTATATTTACCCAAATGTTTACCCATTCTGTTCTTCATTCCTCATCTTCCAAGTTTCATTCTGTTATTTCCTTACTTTGAAAAACTTTCTTCAGCAATTCTTTTTTAAAAATTAATACTTCACTTTTTAGAGCAGTTTTAGGTTTACAGAAAAATTGAGCAAAAGGTACAGAGGTCCCATAATCCCCTTTACCCCCTCCCACCAGTTTTTTTAAATTAACATCTTGTATTATGGATTATATTTGTTATAATTAATGAGCTAATTTTGATACTTCATTATTAAAGTCCGTAGTTTACATAGGGTTCACTCTTTGTGTTGTACATTTTGACACATGTATATGTATCCACTATCACCGTATCAGAGAACACTTTCACTGCCCTAAAAAATCCTCTGTGCTCTACCTATTCTTCCCTCCCTACCCCTGAGTCCCAGGCAACCACTCTATGTGGTTTGCCTTTCCAGAATGTCATTTATTTGGAGTCATAAAGTGTGTAGGCTTTTCAGATTGGCTTCTTTCACCTGGCAATGTGCATTTAAGGTTACTTCATGTCTTTTTATGGCTTGATAACTTTTTTTTATTGCTCATTAATATCCCATTGTATAGATGTAACAGTTTATCCATTCATCTATTGAAGGACATCTTAGTTGCTTTCAAGTTTTGACAATTATGAGTAAAGCTGCTATACACATTTATGTGCAGGTTTTCCTGTGGGCATATTTTCAACTCATTTGGATAAATACCAAGGAGTGTAATTGTTGGATCATATGGTAGGTGTGTATTTCTCTAAGAAACTGCCCAACTGTCTTCCCAAGTTGTTTTTGCATTTCCATCAGCAGTGAGTAAGAGTTCCTGCTGCTCCACATCCTCATCAGTATTTGGTATTTTCAGGGTCTTAGACTTCAGCTATTCTAATGAATATAGTGGCATCTCCTTTAAATTCATCCCTCATGTATGATCTTAGATATCTTTTCATATGTTTATTTACTAATTGTGTTATCTTTGGTGAGTTGCCTAGTTCCCCCCCCGCCACCCCTGAATTTGAACACTGGGTTGTTTTTCTGTTGAGTTTTAAGTTTTCTGTATGTTTTTGATTGCCAATCCTTTGTTTTGCAAATATTTCCTGTCTGTGGCTTTTTATTCTAACAGTGTCTTTCACAGAACTGAGGTTTTTACTGTAAAAGTTCAACTTACCAATTTTTTTTCTTCATGGACCATACTTTTTATGTTGTAGATAAAAAGTCATTACCAAACCCGAGGTCACCTAGATTGTCTCCTATGTCATCTTCAAGGAATTTTATAATTTTGCATTTGGAAAGGCCTAACTTTCCAAATAAATTGATAATTCTTAATTTTTGTTTTCTGACCTACTTATGTTGCCATCAAAGAACTCACTCTGCATAACTTCAGTTCTTTAAAATTTGTTGGAATTTGCCTTATGGCCCAGGGAATAGCCAAATGTTGTAAATATTTTATGTGCTTGAAAAGTATGTATATGCTGAAATTGTTTGCAGAGTGTCCTATATATTCCCATTATGTTAAACTATTTCATTAAAATTTTCTATTCTTTTCCTGATTGTATCTATTCTTCCTATCAAATACTGAGAGATGTGTTGAAGTCTCATGCTATGATTTTAATTATTTTTTCTTATATTTCTGCCAACTTTATTTAGTTGAGGCCATATAGTTAAATATGCTAGGTTATTGCTAGAATATATATTTAAGTTACTCCATCTTCCTGATTAGATGAAACGTTCATCACTATGTAGGCACCCACTTTATCCCTAGTGATACCTTTTACCCTAAAGACCACTTTATGTAACATTGATAGAGCTCCATTTAGTGAACGTTGTGATGTTCTGCCCTGACCCCCCATCAGGACTGAAGGACTTTTTGCTTTAGGTGCTGGGAATGCAACTGGATGACAGCCTTCACCCATCAACCCTCTATGGGAATTGTCCTGAGCTGAAGGGAGCCACCTTATCCAAGACCACTCTCTTTTCCTGGGGATAGCCTGCCTCTCATATCTGGTCAGAGCAGGGTTATAAAGGTCCAGCCCCTTGCCAATGCTGCTTTCTCTCTCCACTCTCCTCTGGGATTCCAGTTAAATCCCTACATTCTCCAGGTCTCCTCTCTCCATGCTTCCTTATGGGTAGAATCTTCTAGCCTCTCTTCCCGTTCCCCAATATCTCTTTTAACTCTTACCTAATCTGGCATTAAACGCGGTTCCATAATTTCTAGGTTTTTTTCTTCTACTACACAGCTGTGTAGTTCCGTTATGGCTTTATCTCCATCAACAGCAATGGTAAGTACTTTAATGTCTATACCTAATGATTCTAGTATACAGAGTCCCTGTGTTTGTTTTTTTCTGGATCACAATGCCATGTCTTAGTGTTTACTGAAACTTTGACAATTTGCTTTTAGAAGTAACAGAAGTCTTAGTTCTGATGATGCTGGTTTCTTTCAGAGACAGGATGTGTTTTCTTCTTCCAGGACTTTAATATACTGAAAACTCAGAAAGCAAACCTTTAGATCTTTCAGATTCATACTCCCACAGGAGAATAAGCCCTTTAGGGACCAAATCCATGAGAAGTGTTATTAATGGTACTAAACACTGACCTGGATTATTTTTTAGCACTGCAAGTCCACCAAGTAGCTCTGCCTCTCTGGTACTTGCCAAAGCCTAGGAAAAATGCATCAGCGATTTCAGATAGGGGATGGAGCAAATAGGAGGATGCATCCTGCTACTTCCAGGGATGGTATTCCTTACCTCTTTCCTCTTCCATCACTAGCTTGAGTGAAAATCCAGGAAAGAAGGCTTTGAGTGGTGTATTCTAAGATAGAGGTAGCTGATTGCTGTTTCCTATCACATAGCTAGGTGTATCTTAGCTGCAAGAGATGCTGGAAACTCTAAGCCTCAAACATCTTAAGGTTTTATAGAAGGTGTTATAGGCAGAAATCTAAGATGTCCCCCAATATCCCTCCCTGATACTACATCCATAATTATTTTATATTGCATGGCAAAGGAATTTAGCAGATGTAATTAAGGTCCCAAATCATTTGATTTTGAGTTAGTGTCATAAGGGACTTATCTCATGAGTCTAACCTAATTATGTAAGAAGTTATTTAAAAGCAGAGTTTTCTCCCGCTGGTAGCCTAGGAGGGAGTCAAACAGATTCCAAGTGAGAAAAGGAGTTAACATGCCATTGCTGCTTTGAAGATGGAAGGAGCCTGTGGCGAGGATATGAAGGGCCTCTAGAAGCTGTGAGCAGCCCCCAGCTCACAGCCAGCAAGCAAACAAGGACCTCAGCTCAGCAACAGCAAGGACGTGAATCCTGCCAATAACAGAAATGAGCTTGAAAGAAGACACCAAGCTCCAGGTAAGAAAGCAGCCAGCCAACACTTAGAGCCTTGTGAAACTCTAAGCAGAGAACCCACCCATGCTATTCTAGACTTCTGACTACAGAACTGTGAGATATTAAATGGGTATTGTTTTATGCCACTAAGTGTGTGGCAATTTGTTATGCAGCAAAAAAAAAACTAATGTCAAGGAAGTCATTTTTTTACTTCTACCAAGGTTCACAAGGTGGTAAAATTTCACAAACACAAGGGTTCAGATACGAGGTGACCAAATGAATGGTAGAATATGCTCCAGGGGATAAGGGAACTGTGCACTATGTAAGATAAGCGATTTAGTCCTGCAGGTTTATGCCAACTACGAGAAGAAACAGCATGACCCATCTCCTAAAAATGTTCTAGTCTTCTAGGGCAGCTGATGCCAGCATGTACCCAAAGAGAAAAGATTAGTCCTCTGAAATGTTAGCTACAGATACCTTTTAAATAGAGCTCTGATTTGGCCAAAAACCCAGGAAACTGTATACTTAACTGAAAACAACCTAGAGTAAAATAAATCACACCAGCACAAAAGGACAAGTATCTACAAAATCTTTATAAATTCACATATTTTTCTGAAAGTGTACAAGCAGTCTCAATTTACTGGGACAAAAATGAACATTTTTGTTCTTTAGTAATGAAGTCAATGTACAATTCAGAGCAGGTGTCCATAGAAACAACTAGGTTTGAAAAAACTTAAGACAATTCACAGTTGAAATCAAACAAACACTGTGAATGTGTTAAATACTTGCCATATAACAACACTTTAACATTGATCTTGCTAAATAAGGCTATGATTCATAAGATGCATGTATTTCCAAAGCTGTTTAACATTCTTATAAATTAATTCACAGGATTCAAATAGTTGCTTTTTAGCTTCAACTGGGTATTAGCAAAAATAATACAAAATGATCCCCGTGCAAGCACAAATTTACCTTCCTTCCTAAATAAAACATGACAGATTATATTACAACTTGATAGCCTCTCTTTTAAAAAGTCTGTGACATTATTAAAGAGGTGACGGAATGCTTGTTTTGCAAACCCCAACACATCTTTCACTGTGGACCATTGCTATTACTTCATTAACACAGTTGCTCAGATCTCAAGGTACTCACGGTCTGAAATATATTTTACAATTAGAAGGTATGCACAGGTCAAAAAGAGCAATCCAAGGGTTAGAAGTCCCCAGTGCCCCACACTGGCTCATTGCCGAGGTGACAGGGTGCAGGCTGTGTGAGCCAGGCACACTTACCCCTCAACTGGGCTTCTGTAGCTTTACAATTTGGATAACTAGTTAGCGGACAGTAGTTGGGACATGTCACATACAGATTTGAGTCCTCCAATAATGTACACTTTGCCAGGTTTTATCCCTTTGTTAAAGCAAATAGAACAGAGAGGGAATATAGCTGCCAGTAAAAATCATTTCCCCCCTCTTAATCTCCCATCCTTCATCTCCATGAAACCGACTATTAAGATAACCTTTCTCTCTCTGTGCACTAGTGGAAAAAGTAAAGTTCTATAGAAACTCACAGTTAAGAGGGACTCTGAATACAGCAAGTTAAGGCTTTTAGTGCAAATAGAATGAATTCCCACTAAGGTCAAAAGGTTTCAATTGGGTACCATGCTGACTTCTTGGTATCTTTTAAGGCCTAATTTTCCCTTCCTTGAGATTACTGTAGTGTGTTCCAGCTAATTTCTATTTGGAAACGAGTTGGAACAGCTGAAAACTAGGTATTATTGAAGGCAAAGCAGCCTCACGTCAGTTTTTTATCAGCTCATTTGGGAAGGTTTTTTTTTTTTTTTTTTTTTTTTTTTAATTAATTAGAAAGTAGGCTGGGCACGGTGGCTCATGCCTATAATCCCAGCACTTGGGGAGGCCGAGGATCTCCTCTCTGGTGGATCACTTGAGGGCAGGAGTTAAGAGACCATCCTGGCCAACATGATGAAACCCTGTCTCTACTAAAAATACAAAAAGTAGCTGGGCGTGGTGGCATACTCTTACAATCCCAGCTACTTGGGAGGCTGAGGCAGGAGAATCACTTGAACCTAGGAAGCAGAGGTTGCAGTGGGCCAAGATCACACCACTATACTCTAGCCTGGGCGACAGAGGTGGGGAAAAAAGTAGGACCCCTGTCCTATATTCAGGTTTTTCTCACATATATGAACCCATCTAAATTCTACGTTGTTAAAGGTAGCTTAGGTTAATTAGTCTATACTTATTTAAGAACAATATGGGGTGAGATGGATTTTTTTTTAAAAATCCTAAAGTAAGGCTTTCTACTTTCCTTCTAATGAGGAAAAAGGTGACAAAAATTCAAGTGTCAATGTCCCCTTCCTGGGAAGAGGTTTAGAAAAACAACAGCTCACCTTCTGAACTCTACCAGTTCCTTTTGAAGTTAACGAAGCATTAAAATCAGATGTAAAAAAAGAAAAAAAAAGGCAGGGAAATATTTACAAAACTGGACATTCTTTACAGATATACAATCTTGCTAATACTGGGAGAACCATACAAGGATGTATAAAGAGAGACAGTCACCTTAGTAATGCAAGGATAGAGAAAACCAGGATATAATATGTGTTTTTTATTGCCAGAACATGGTGAAACTAGGAGGAGCAGAGATGACCTGATCCCTGAAGTGAACTGCTCAGCTATTCTGTGTACCTCAGGAGGTCTGCAAGTGTGTGGTTAGGTAAAAACTGAGCTGTGCAAACTCACTGTATCCAAGCTCTTCTCATGAGAGAGCAGAACAACCTGGCAAGCTTAAAGGCAAGTGTTTTCGTTCTTTTAATTAAATAGGCTGTGACAAAATTAACAATAAAACTAGCCCAGAACCAACCAGCCCGGTAAGTGTCGTGCAAATCTTGCAGTAACAAAAGACCATCTGAGAGACTACACGTTGGTCTCCAGTCCTAGCAAGCGTCCCATTCTCTCCACATTCTTATCAATTGTAGCTTGACATGTTATCTCCTTGGCACATTCCATAGGAAACCAGCCTCTTTCTCCATCTCGTAGTCGTTCCCCCTCATACCAGCCTGTGAAAAAGAACAGAGTCCACACCAAACAACAAGTATTTGGAGTGTGCCAGGCTCCAAGGATATGAAAAAGCTGAGAGGCAGCATCCCTCCCCAGGCTAAGTGCTACGGTGAGAAGAGAAAGTGGGACAGGGAAAGCTTTCGAGGGGGAATGAATGACATGGCAGGGAAAGAACGTGAGCAGAGGCCCTGAAGTGAGAAGGCTGAGAGTATTTGAACCTGGGCTGAGCTGGGAAAGGAGATGCTTTGGGTAAAGGATAGCAGGAAGAATGCTATTTTTGAAAGGACGAATATTTAGAGATAAGAACTGGGTCACTGAGGGACTGGGGAAAAAAGAAAACGTCATGGTTTAGCCTTAGAGATGAGAAGACAGTACATATATGTGATCTCAAACATTAACATGTCAAGATTTGGAATATGGGCAATGATGACAAAATGACACTCCTCGGGTCTATAGCACTCTGCATCCTGGACCACGAGTGTCCCATAAGAACGCTCCCACTCACCATCGCTGACACGTTGATAGATGAGGACGACGTCAGCCACCTGCAGGGAGAGTTCATCTGGCTGCTTAGCAGTAAATGACCTAACGATTTCCACCTGGGTCAGTGCTGAGGCCAAAAGAGGACATACTAAGTTTCCAGTAGCAGAGAAAAAACATGTGCAATCCAATAATGTACACTTACTTATTTTTCTCTGCAATTCAGGGCCAGCATTGAGAGAAACAAGTTGGGCTTCTAATAAAAAGCAGAACATCTTTTCTAGCAACTCCCTTGCTTGGCTATAAGCTTTAGAATTTTAGAAGCTCAGATTTGAGAGGCCTTTTATGATGCATGATTCCCCTCAATAACAGGTTGATCAGGAGTCATTAGTCATGTCACACAATGGAACAGAAAACAGCCACTCTGCATTAGGGAAACTGAGACATGAAAGAGTTGCTGATGTGCCAAGGCCATGCAAAATCTGCAACAGACACAGTTCTCCTGGCTCTCATCAGAGTGTCTCCCCATCCCAACAGCAGCACATGAAAGTTTCCAAAAAAAAGTTTAGAAATAAAATGAGCTCCAACCAAAAGCTGAGAAGTCATGTTAGACCTCCTCAGAAATGCTGACATGTGGCCGGGCACGGTGGCTCACGCCTGTAATCCCAGCACTTTGGGAGGCCGAGGCAGGCGGATCACGAGGTCAGGAGATTGGGACCATCCTGGCTAACACGGTGAAACCCCGTCTCTACTAAAAATACAAAAAATTAGCTGGGCATGGTGGCGGGCGCCTGTAGTCTCAGCTACTTGGGAGGCTGAGGCAGGAGAATGGTATGAACCCAGGAGACGGAGCTTGCAGTGAGCTGAGATAGCACCAGAGCGAGACTCCATCTCAAAACAAACAAACAAAATGCTGACATGTGACTTCTTAATTTGCTTTTTAATACAAAGCTTGATTTCCGGGAACTTTCAAACCAGTCATTTTGGCTTTTAATCTAAGCTTAAAGCTATAATTTTTGAGTGTTCCAGGATAACAATGTTTTGTTCTAATTCTTTGGATTTGACCTTGCAACTGTAATAATCTAAGAAACCACAGCATCAAAGTTAGGAAGCTAATAGGCATACAACACCCCCCTTCACTGCGCCAGTTTCTAATTCTCTAGAATAGTGAAACACACTTTCTTAGAAGGTCAAAAAGAATTCTTAGGTAATTTTCTTTTAGATTAAAAATACTTTTCAGCTTAAATCCAGACTGTCAGTATGTAGAAGGTTTAAACATGATCAACTGTTGCCCACTGATAATAGCTAAAAATTTAAGGGCTTTACAGTTCAAGTAGGGCTTTTAACATAGATTATTTAACTTAATCTTCACAATAACCCCATGTTGTATATAATGGTGTAACTGACTTGCAGATGGTTAAATAGGCTCTGCAATGCTAAGCAATGATTTGACACGTTTACACAACAAAGAAATGCACCTTGGATTTGAATTCAGACCCCCTGACTTCCAAAGCAAGGATCATACATTTTTGGTGTAAAGCAGAAGGAAGCCCTGGAGGAAACTTAGGCAAGTATTGTGGCAATATAACTCGTTAGTAACCCGGCGTCCAGCAGGGGGCAGAGCCCATCCATGTTCCCAAGTGGGCTTCCCCTTGAGAGAACTTACAGGTTCGGTCTGCAGGCGGCTTCCCGCTGCTGTGTCCCAGGGCAGTTATCCAGCGGGCTCGCTCGCTCCTAAAACAGAGGGCAGATCCAACTGAGAGACTCAAGGTGTAAAAACACAGAATGGAGTGTTTTCTAGGCAGCCAATGCAAAGGCACTCCCAGAAAACAAGAGATTCTCTAGAGAGGTATGGTAAAACAGGGTGAGAGTAGTTTAAAAGTGATAAGCTGGAAAGTCTAAAATAAGCAGGAGACTAGTCATCATTGTCAAAAGAGTCTGAATGAACTTGGCTCATTATTGATTAAAAGGAACTTCCCATATGACAGTTTAAAAGTTAATAAGGAGCTGATTACACGAACACATTATAACTCCAAAAGGTATTTAGCATACCCATAATTTGATGTTTAACATTTCAAAAGCAGTTAAGTTTCATTTTTTAAAAATCCTACTAATTTCTCTGCTTCCTCCCCACTTCCCTTCCCACACACTCAAACCTTTCCGTAAACTTGAGAAACTTGACATATTTAGTTGTCTCATCCCTCATACAACTAATTTTGCCAAATATGAGTCTTACTGAAATAGAAATTCTTTGGCCACTTTTACACTGTTCCCAAATGCTTAAAATGGTTTAATGAGCACAGGAAAAATGACCAATACTTTTAATATAATATTAAGCTATAATTACATAAAAATAATTATTCAACTAAAGGATCAAAAGTTTCAGATAAGCAAGCACTTCTCTACATAATGCAGTCACCCTGGTTTTTTATTTTGAGCACCAAGTATTAAAATTACAATTAATTAAATACTGCCCCGCCACACACATACTTTTAACTCTCTTATGTATTTATTAAACACATGCTACATGTCAGACACTGCACTCAACATCCACTATTCCATGTAATCCTCTCAAAAGCCCATCTGAAGGATGCTAAGATCAGACAGAAGTTCAGAGGCAAGCAATTCAAACCAAAGTCAGTTTCTACTGTGCCACTCTACATTCTTAAGAAAAAATGCCTTCATGACCAACACCTGGGGAAAAAAACTCTTCTCTCATAGCAGCCTGAATCTACAGATGCTTGTCGCTGTCACCCCACCTTCATCCCCATATGCATCCTTCCAACCCAGGCAGAGAGGATGACTTACCGCATTGGAACATAGCACCCTTGCCCCAGCCTTTCCTATTCCTTCCCTGTTTTTGCGTAGATAAGCCCACTCATTATTGCCATTAAAATTTCTTAACATACATAACATAAACTGAGTTAATCATAAGCGTGTACAGCTCTGTGTTTACTTACCAAGACACAGATGCGCCAGGCATTTCCATTCTGACCCTTTCCAATCAATAACCTCTGTCCAAAGGTGACTGCTCTTGTTTTCCATTACCATGGAATTTCTATTACCATGCTTCTTTTGTACTTTTTGCAAATGAAATCCTTTAGTATGTATGCTTTTGTATTTGGCTTCTTTTGCTCAACATATATCCACTCAATGCTGAAAACACAAGGCTCACTTCCTCCAGTGGGGGCTCCTCTGATACATAAACCAATCCTTCCATCTCCATCCCAGTCTGATAATCCTGTTTCTAGGGCACCCCTCTGCACAATTCTATTATATTGCTGGTCAACAGTAAGCCTCATAAAAGCAGGCAGCTTATCCATTTGGTTCACTGCATTATCTCTACAACATTGCCCAACACGTAACAGGGGCTCAGTATATGTCTGCTAATGAATGAATTATATAACTCATCACATATTGAGCCCAATCATTTACTGACTCATCTGCTTCTCTTACCAGGCTATAAACTCCAGAATGGCAGGAATTGGGCCTTGTTCTAAATAATATTCTGAAGCACCTATGTGTCAGGTATGGTACTAAACAATTGCAAGTATCATCTAATCTAATTTTTACAACAATCTTGAAAAGAAAATATTACCAAAATTATTTCTATTTTTTTCAGAGGACAAAGCAAGTCTGGTATGTTAAGCACCTAACCCAGGCAGTCTGAAATCAAAGAGGTGGTGTTACGCAGCAGGTGTTTACAAAATAATGATGGAAGGCAGGAAGGGTGGAAACTGTGGTATCTTGAAAGACAGGCATTTTCAAAGATTAAGATGAGGCTGGGCCTTGATCAAGATGGTGTGTCAAGTAGTAATATGCACAATTTATATAGAAGCCAAGGCTCCTGTCTTGCTTTTAAAACCTCTCTCTCTCTCTCTCTCTCTAATACAGGACAAAGGGCTTTACAATAGTTCTGTAAGAAATAAGCAAAGCACAACTTCATGTAAAATAATTCCCAGGCAAACACTTGTATCTTTGCTATGATGTCTTTATTGGGAATAAGATCTATTTTTTACACAGGCTCAAGTGGAATTTGCAAAGTACAAAGCCAATCGAAAACAAAATACCTCATGAATAGAAGTGTTGCTCACCAAGAGAAATCTAAAATGATCCATTTGTGTCTCTCTATGCCATACTGAAACAAATTATACATAGCCTATACTGCTGTCTTCTGGAGCAATTTAGAGCAACTTGGAGCCAGTGAGGCAGATCTTCCTGTACACAGACACCGTCTCTGGCACTGAGTGGCCAGTATCAGCAGTGGCTTTGCCCTACAGCCAGTTTCCAGAAGTCCAGATGAAATCTTTCACTTCTGTGGCATGCTGCCTGGATGCTAATAGCATCTCTTAGACATGGCCACCCCTCACAGGGACTCCAGAGGATAGAACAAGACACTCCTTGTTGCTATCACTAAAAGGAGCAGCTTTTTGAGACTTTCAATTGAGTGAGTCCCACCCCCCCCTCTTAGATGCTGTCAAATCCACAGGACTTCCCCTGGGGCTTTCAAGAGTCTGCCAAGAGGCCGGGCGGGGCGGCTCACACTTGTAATCCCAGCACTTTTGGAGGCCGAGGCAGGGATCACCTGAGGTCAGGAGTTCGAGACCAGCCTGACCAACATGGAGAAACCCCATCTCTGCTAAAAATACAAAATTAGCTGGGCGTGGTGGTGCACGCCTGTAATCCCAGCTACTCAGGAGGCTGAGGCAGAGAATTGCTTCAACCTGGGAGGCGGAGGTTGCGGTGAGCCAAGAGTGCACCATTGCACTCCAGCCTAGGCGACAAGAGCAAAACTCCGTCTCAAAAAAAAAGAGCCTGCTAAGGAGCTCCCCCAGCTATGAAGCAGAAAGTACTACATCTCTAAAGCAGGAACTAAGTTGTTATAAGATGGATTCTAGGGACAGGAAAAACCAGGGCATAGACTTACCCACGATTAAATTTAGACATGAAGTCTAGGGCTCACTCACAGACATCTATTTTCTCCAGGGACGTATCGATATAAAACAATTGAGATGAATTCACAATCTACCACACAGCCAGTTCACAGACTTTTCCCTTTGCACAAAGTGACAAGAGTAAGCAATGCTGCACTGAATCCCATCTGTGGCATATCAACTTTGAAGACTCGCCTTACCACTCCTTCCTCTACCCACATTCACTTTGCACAGGCCCTGGGCTAGCTTGGAGAGGTGCACAGCAAATACACTGGAGTCCCTTGCTTTTTACCGCCCTCAGTATGAGGGAACACACAGAGCAGAAAACACTCACAAAATCCAATACAGCATGCAGTGTGCTGAAATGGAACACTCTACCAAAACATTTGACCTACGTAGAGAAAGACGACTAAATTGAAAAGAGACTCTTTTAACTTAAATGTCTATAAATGTAGTCTTTTCATAACCCTCAAGTTCTCCATGCATGGCATGAAATGATGTTTCTACAGTTTCCTATCAGCTATGGTAGCACCTTGTCCTGTCTCTCATATAATTCATTATGCACAGTAGGTTTAACTTAATTGCATGAAGGTCAAAGATACAGCAAAGTCTCACTTCTTATGGAATACCAGGCATCAGCTACAAAACATAGATACATACTGAGAAAGTAGGAAGTAGGCTTTGAAATCACAGAGACAGGGCTGCAGGTGAGGCTGCACAGAACAGAACATTGGCTGAGGACTCCATCACTAACAGGGTTTTCTGATTTCTCAATAGAAAAAAATAGCCCTTAGTTGCTCTTTAACCTTCCTTTTATCCCTCCCAAAGTGGCATTTGACCAGTTACCTTTTGTGTTTCTTTTTACAGCCTACACATTTACCTGTGGTTCCTTTTGATTTCTCTAAAGTCCTTCGAACCTTTGTAAAGAATAGGATTGTGAAGATAGTTGTTTCTGTTCATTCCCTCACAAACTCAATTCAACTAGATTAGTTCAGAAAACTGATCCATGAAAGAAAGCCCCATAGCGTGAAAAAAAGTCATTAAAAATGCTGAGACCAGGCCTTAAAAAACTAGATATCAGTTCAATTTGCCAAATTTTAAAAAATCTAACTGAAGCAAAATAATATCCCTAGCCCACTAAGAGTTCTAAAATTTAGATTTTTGTCACATGCTATATAGTTAAATCAATTATTTCTTGTTTATCATATTACATTAGCTCAGACCTAAAAAATCTGGTCCAGAGTCCTTCAGTTAACCTGAAGCGGGTCAATGATGTTTTCCTGCTGATAAAAGACCTCTTGTCCTATTGGGGTTGGTGATGAGGACCACATTAAGATCAGATCCTTTGACAGGCACTAGATAAATGTAAGATTATGACTGGACTTAGAATTTAGATTTAACAAGGAAAAAAATGCTATACCCTACAATAAATAAAATGTTTCCATGTATACTGTCTTTATGTTGTGATTTTTCTAAAAGGATGAAGTATATGACTATGTCAGAGATACTATTTACAATTTTATTCCATTCCATGTACTTCCTGTTGTTAATTAAATCATTAACAGAAGCAGGAAAAGCTCAAAGACTCCCTGCAAACAATGCCCCTTTATCAGGAGGCCCAGGAATTGGTGTCTGGATGGTTGACAGCACCAACCACATTCATTATGCTTCTAGCTCTGTGAGGGAGAAATTTTGAGAAGGATATTTGATTATGGGCTAAGGTCATCATATCCTATAACTGACATATAATGAGTGAGGAAAGTTTGTGTTCATCACTGAACATGTCCTAGATGTTTCATGACGGTATACACTACACCCAAATGACATCTAAATTTTACTGCAAATGCAGGAAGCCAAGGACTCCACTTGCCACAGCCTGTTGTGTGTGCCAGCTGCAGCTGTCTGTGCTTCATTTTAATGAAGGCAGACAAAGGGGGCTCTCTGGCTCCCACATTCCTCTTGAAAGGCCCAGAGGGAAAAAAGAATGACAGTGGTAAAACATTCTTCCTTTGTCCTTTTATAAAGGGTAGACTTCTGTATTTTTCACAGAGTATTGTCTCATTGACGATACCATGACTTAGGGCCTGTCATGGACAAACAGATATAACACAGTATACATGACTTCGACGTACATCCTAAAAAACATTTGACTGAATCCTTAATAGCAAAAAATTGAAAAACAAGTAAAATTTGGGAAAAACCTGCTCCAGCAGTAACAAAAAGGGCAGTAAATAGAGACAGGAAGCAGTTTTTCTCCACACCTGGTTACTCTTCTACCTTGTCTCAGATAGAGAAAAGCTAGTTATAATAATTATGGGTCAATCCCAAAAATATTTATTGGGAACCTACTCGCTATGTACAAAGCAAGGAAAGGACAAAACTAGAGCTGAGCTTAGGGATTAGTGATAAAACTACTGTATTGATGGGAGAGGAGAATGGCTAGGAGGCCATTGGGGTAGTTCAAAAGCCATGTGGTTGACCTAGGAAGGAGGCAGTGGAATGGAAAGATGGGGAAAGATGAAATAGACTTTTACACAGGAAGAACTGGCAGGTGATGGATCTGTTCTGACACAGAAGCATCAAAAACAGCACCAAGTCTCCAGACTGGATAACGCAAAAGAGTGTCAATAGTACCATTTACAGAAATGTGTGTGTCGGGGAAAGCCACGGGCAGTGTTGATGTTTGGTTTTGGACAGGCTGCATTTCTGAAGAGACAGAGAAGAGGAATGGTCATAGGTGTGAGAGGCAAACTAAGAGCATAGATAAGAGGCTGAGAAAAACATAATCTCAAAAAAAGGGTTAGCATGAAAGAGCTGGATGGTCAATAAAACTAAATGATACTAGAGGTAAAGAAAGGAAGATTGGACTGCTGGGTGTGAAACTAGGAAGCCTGTTAATCTGATGGAGAGGCCTCAACAGGGTGCCAGAGGAAGAAGTCACGCCAAGGTTGATTAAGAAACAACTCAACTAGCTAACAACTCACTGCACGTACCCCTACCTTGATTAAGAAACAACTCAAGCTAGCAGCTCACGCCAGCAGCTCACGCCAAAAATCTAAATATCATCGATTCCTCTCTTCCACTTACTGCCACCTCAACTCATCCAATCCATCAGTTGGTCCTGTTGTTTTTGTCTCCAAAATATAACATTTCTATCTCCTCCTACATATCACGGTCCAAGCCAACATCGGGACTCCCCTCGACTACTCCAACAGGATTAGGGTTAGGGTTCTTATTGTTTGCCCCACTGAAACTTCTGTCCCCAGGGCCCCTGTTGTTCCTGGAACTTCCTGCTATGGCTTATGTGGTTCTAAATCAGTGTTTCTCGAGATATCTCTGGTAGAGAACCAGTCTCCACCCCTTGAATCCATTGCAGACCAAGCATTTTTAGAAATACAGTAAAAATAAATTAATTGTTAAAATAATCACAAGTTTTGATGCCTCAGAAATGTCAAACTGCTTCCTACATACCAGGCTGGTAACTACTTGAGGACTGATGGCCCACAGACAGCACTGGGGTAGCTCTGAAGACAAACTGGACTTTGTTGCCCATTGACTGCCACCCCTCTCCCTGGTTTATTCTGCTCCAGCCACATTCTCCATGTTCAAGCCAAGTTTGAGAACACTAAATTCGTTTCCTTAGAGGTTTTGCACCTGCTGTTCCCTTTGGCTGAAACATTCTGACTCTGCATTTTCCTAAGGGTTGACTCCTCCTTTTCACTCAAGGCTCAAATATCACCTCTTAAGAGAGGTCTTTCTGCACCACCTAAGTTAGAGTACCTATCCTCACCACCCCCCAATTAGCACTCACTCCGGATCACATCACCAGCTTTAGGGTCTTCACTGCACTTACCACTACCTGAAATGATCCTTTATTTTTAACTGGATCATGAAGAAATACTTTCCCATCATCCTAGCTCATTGCAGACCATTTGCCCAGGCAGACTGGCCAAAGCTCCCTTCCATCCAAAGTCACCCTTCCTAAGAGCAGGAAGCCCAAGGGGATCGGTTCTTCACTTGGATATAAGCCTAAGAGCAGAGATCTGATCTCCGTATGGTTCACTGCTACATCCCAGCACTGAGAATAACACTTGATGGGAAGTAGGTGCCTGACAAAAATCCACTGAATTAATCTGGAGAAATGAAGGCCACTCTCTTGAGAAGTTCTGTAAAGGAAAGGAAGGATGTAGCAGGAGGCTGGGAGTTTGGAGTCATACAGTGGAGGGTGGGTGAGACAGAAAACATGAGGGGAAAAGTGAACTAATGAGTGGCACACACAGCGAGCACTGGGCATTCTCAAGATGAGACTGCAGTGTGCAGTACTGAGAGGCTCCTCAGCAGAGGAAAGGCTTGACATGGGCCCTAAGAGGAGCCATCTGGCCATCTGAGGAGGCCTGAAGAGGGCATTCCAGGAAGTATGAAAAACACAGGCAAAGGAACAAAAAAGGAAGTTTAACATGGAAAATAATTTTGGGGATGCAATATCTATTTAGCATTTTATCATAAAATATTCTAACCCATATGATATCCTAAATTTAACATCTAGGTTTCCACAATCTTTTTTCCTTTTTAAAGCCTACGGATTGAGGCCGGGCACAATGGCTCACGCCTGTAATCCTGGCACTTTTGGAAGCTGAGGCAGGCAAATCACTTGAGGTCAGGAGTTTTGAGACCAGCCTGGCCAACATGGTGAAACCCCGTCTCTACTAACAATAAAAAAATTAGCCAAGCATGGTGATAAGCACCTGTAATCCCAGCTCTTTGAGAGGCTGAGGCAGGAGAATCACTTGAACCCGTGAAGGGGAGGTTGCAGTGAGCCGAGATCGTGCCACTGCACTCCAGCCCCGGCGACAGAGTGAAACTCTGTCTTAATAAAATAAAATAAAAAATAATAAAGTCTTTGGACTTAAAAAATTCTATATTTTAGTAGTTTCTCACAGTTAATAGCGACTGACTTCCTGGAGGTTTCCTTCCAAATCCAGAACAAGCCAAACTGAGCAGCAAAGTGGGGGTGGAACAGCCTACTGGTTGGCAGCTTCTCCGTAAAAAGAATAAAATTTGTTACTAGAAAGACTGCTAGACTGTCAGGAAGGCCAGATTCTAGTTCCAGCTTTGGCAATAACTCACTTCCTGTATGGCCTTTGTGAGTCACTTCACATGGGGGAAGAAAATGAGAGAGTTGGACCATGTATATAATTATAAATATGTGTATATATTTATAATTTGTTATTGATAATATTTTGTTTTATGTAATATTATAATTATATATAATTAGGGTCACCATATATTTCATTGTATAAACGAGGACCTTTTGAGAGTCAAAAAGAGTATCATTCATAATTTCACCAGGACAACGGACCCAAACTTGAACAACTGATTCTGGGAAAACCAAGATGTCTGATCACTTCCCTATATGCTTTCTTCAGCTCAAAATTCTGTCCTCCTCTAGAAACACCCATGGGTCCCTTCGTCATGTTCTATAGCTGGCTCAGTGCCTGGCATATCCCAGATGCTCACTGTTTGCCCCAACTCCTTTTGGTGAGCATTTCTGCATTCTTTACGTAATCAAAGCCATTGATTTTTCTTCCACAATTTCACTGTCTTATGAAGTTGAATTGTCCTTGTGCCAAACAGCTGCACCCCTCCTACTGCTGATTTTACATGTTGTATATCCTCAGGTGGCCTTTAGTGACAACAGTTTTTCAAAGAAAGTAAAGATTTAGGTGTAAAATTCATTATTTTTCAGGTCAAAGAGTAAGTAGTGAAATTATATACCTGACTCTAAGTTCTTCAATTACTTAAGGCTAGAATGGTAGTGCAAACCTTGTTTTTTCAACTAGATTGCCAATGAACCATATTAACCAAAAAGACATAAAAGAAAGAAAACCTAAACAATATATACTTATTGATGCATTTCACAAATGTTGGAAGAAAATAACACATTCTATGCATATCAAAACTCTAATTGCTCAAAACTCGGTAGCCCAAAGCTAACCTGCATATTTGCAAACATGGCATGTAACAATTTGCCAGGTTTTTTAATAGTCTTTTTTATTTTTAAGGAAAGTGCGTCTTTAGTTGTTAAATATATTTTTTCAACACCAATACTATTTTATGTCTTGAAAGCATGTCCATTTATTTACTTCTCAACTGTAATTGAGGGTGGGGGTGGGGAGAGCAAAGAGAATGAGAGAGTCACTCCCTCTGTACCCAAGGAGACCTCTGTCCCATGCCCCTTCTGGAATGTTCTCTTGCTATTAATTAAATAACTACAAATATGAGTCAGACCTATGGGTTTCCAAGTGACATGACTAAATATTCTGAGAACATGTCTGATTGAGGAAACGAACAACCATTCAGTCTTTGGCAAGATTAAAAGGCAAAAGGATGGAACAAATGCTACAGAATGTCCCAGGAAAGGATCTAGCCTTGGCGTGAAATAAGCTGGACATGTCAGTTCACCTCCTACTCTCTTGGAATCATCTCAGAAATGAGTGGTGGAGACTACATAAATTATGAATGAGACAGTCAGGAAAATCTCTGTTGAGATGTTGGCAAGGCCTGAATAAAGAACAAACAATCCTTGTAAACCAAAGAAAAGGAAAACACAAGGCAAAACCAGCAACACTTTCACCATTACTAACTATACGGGGAAAGGGAAGTCTCTAGTTTCTGAGAATTCTCTGGAACACTGGAAAATTACTGATTTCCAAAGTGTTAAAGTCATTCTCATCCTTAAAGTCATATAAAATCCAAAGCACAGGCATACTAAAAATTCTGTTTTGAGGAGAAGTTTCCCCACACAAAGGAAGTCTAGTTTGTCCTCACTGGCCAAGAGGTTTAAACCACTTTTGGAGTTCAAGTAATGCCTCCCCTTGACCCTGGTCTTGGGTGTGTCACTTGCTGGTCACCTCACAGATCAGCAAGCACACGCCCACCCAAGCTCACCTCCCCACAGCCGCAAACACAGAGGGGCATGCTTGGAATGCCATCAGCGCTTTTCAGCACCTTTAGGGGAAGAACTCTGGGATCTCAGAGAAAGGCATTTGTTTGTTTTGTAAACAAACACATGAAGATGAAGCTCCCTTTTTTTTTTGATGGCTGCTGACTAGGGTGATGGTTGCTGAAGGTTTGGGTGGCTGTGGCCGTTTCTTAAGACCACAGTGAAGTTTGCTGCATCAATTGACTCTTTCATTCATGAAAGATTTCTGTATAGCATGCAATGCTGTTTGATAGTATTTTATCCTCTGCAGAACTTCTTGCAAAATTGGAGTCAATCGTCTCAAACTTTGCCACTGCTTTATCAATTCAGTTTACGGAATATTCTAAATCCTTTGTTGTCATTTCCACAATGCTCACAGCAACTTCACTTTCTTTGCTCATCCTGAAGAAGCAACTCCTCATTTGTTCAAGTTTTATTATGAGATTGCAGCAATTCAGTTGCATCTTCAGTCTCCATTTCTAAATCTAGTTCTCTCGCTATTTCCATTGCATCTGCAGTTGCTTCCTCCGCTGAAGTCTTGAACCCCTCAAAGTCATCCATGAGAGTTGGAATCAACTTTTCCCAACTCCTGTTCATGTTGATATGTTGATCTCCTCCCATGAAATTATGAATGTTTTTAATGACATCTACGATGGTGAATCTTTTCCAGAAGGCTTTTAATTTACTTTGCCCAGATCCATCAGAGGAACCACTGTCTATGGTAGCTGTAGCCTTATGAAATATATTTCTTTTTTCATTACCTTGGTGAACTCTCCAGCTCATTTGGAATATGCTACAGCTTTCACCAACCTGTCCTTGGTTTTTTCTCTAGCCTGTGAAATGCTACTTCTAGTGCCAAAAGATATGAAATAATTTGACATTTTATGTGGGTGCCTTGTAATTTTCACATTTTTCTTATGTCTCTTGACAAAGATTCTTGGCTTGGCCAAACTTCAGTTAGATTTCTGTACCTTCTCCTAGGCTCATCTGTACAGTTCTTCGTAAAATCCAGTTTTAGCAAAGAACCCTACTAAGTCAATTTGGCAAGAATATCCCCTACCCCATCCTCAATATCTGATAAGATTCATTATTCTCCATCATCCCAGAGGTTATGATGTCTAATTACCCTGGCCTGTCTTCAGCAAGAATCCTGTTTGGTTAGTTTAGCCAGAATAGCCCTTATCTCTGATATTTCCTCTCAGTAAGTTTCCATCCACTGACCTCCATCCTGCCCTATGGCTATGAATTCCCACTTGCCCATGCTGTGTTGGAAGTTGAGCCCAATCTCTCTCCCCTACTGGAGACGTTGCTGCAATGGTCCTTACGCCTGTTAAGATGACCTTGCATAAAGGCTGCGAAGCTTACTGCGCTTTAGCAAGTGTCCTTCAATAACTTTTCTTGAATATTCTCGTTAATCATCTAGGAACACTGTTAAAATCAGTCTTAAGGTGAAGATACCTCTTTGGGATCACTTTCTCTAAGATCTTGCTACAATTTTAGGGTTGTTATTCATCAGCTGCTGATCCATTTTAACCACACCATTTAGGAACCCTGGCAGACATGGAGTTGGAGGCAGGAATCTGAGAGGACAAAGAATTAGGGAACTTCTCCTTTCCCTCCACTGTTCCACTCTCTGACCCAATATAATATCTGCCCATGATGATTATTGCAAGAGGAAGTTTCCAGTTTCTAAACAAAAACATTGGTCAGTCATCTTTAAGTGGACCAAAAAATCACTAAGGTGGACTTGAAAGTTAACCCTCACTGCCACTCATCCAATGTGAGAACTAAGTGCACACTAACTGCTGGCGAAACTGCAGGCACCAACAGGACGCCTGTTTTGGTCGTGCATAAACTCTGGATTAGAAAGAGGATTTATCAGTATATTTCCGTAAACTGGGTAGCTCTTTTGACAGAAATCATTGGGCTTTCTGCTCTCTGGTTGAAGGTAGGTGACTGAGAAACGACCTGAATTCCATTACCTAAGAAGGCTTATGGCCTAGACTCAAAATACCAGTTGAGTCATATTCCTTAAGGATAGTGTATCATATTTTTGTCAATGAAAAAAGTAAAATGATTTTTAAACCACTCTATAAAAATAAAGACATCACCTAAAGCACAGTGCATCTATCAGGACTTATAGGGAAAAAATAACAACATCCTTCTCCTGTAAGAAGATTACAATGAAAAGAACAACATCTGTAAAAATTACCCAGTCATAGTGCTTAGCGAACAGTAGGTGCTCAACAAAAACATGAATAGTAGCTGCTGTTTTTAGGAAGTCTGTAAACCAAAGAAAATCAGGTCAGGGAGATACTATCAGCTATTCCAATCTTTTCCCCACATATACTTACTGCGTCTCAGCTCCTAGTAGCATCTCCACTTTCTCATTCGCGTGGTTACTAAGGACTGTCAGAGTAAAGAGGTGACTGGCAGAGCTCTGTCTTGAATAGAGCATTGTGGAGCTGTTCTTCCCTGGAGAAGAATTAAGCTCTTCATTGTCACAAGATTCCACCAATAGCTGATCTCTTAAGGAATAATCATTGACGTTGTAACTTTCTTCACTGTAAAGGAAAGGGAAAAGAACACGTCAATTATTCAGCAGATAAGACTGACATTGTCAGTTTTCGAGGCACATTTTGGTGGAAACAGCAAGGAGTGGGCAGGAAGGAGAGGGAAAGAATGACTTATTTTAAACTATGAATTGGAATTTGAATTCTATCTACTGATTATGAATCAATGTAACCCCCTCCAATTAAACCTAATTACTATTTTTATGGATGTAACACACTAAATTGCATCTCAAGTATTGACATCATCCTGGAACTGTTATAATAAGTGATCCTTGCATCCTTACATGCATCTTGGTCATGCTCCAGCAGGTGTACCTCCCCAGCTTCCACATCTCTATTTGCAGAATGAAGGAGGAGCCTTCTACTCATGCTCTGGGTAACAAGACCTCACCCCCCAAACCCCCCATCTCCAAATGACCATGCATTGAAGAGAAGAGCCCCAGAGGTCTGCTTGCTTCTGGCAAGACACCCAACCCATCCTTGTGTCCCACACTCAGAGCCTCACCACCTGTTTCACAAACCACCAGGACTAATCTCATTATGCCCTCCATTCCTGCTTAGGCTCAGGAACCCCAATATCCTTCTTTCTCCTGCACTCCCATTCCCATCGCACTGTGAACATGCCCAATCTGGCCCCACTTTTTTCCACTCCTCAGCTGGTTCCTGAACCCCTTCCACTGTACCCTCTGGGAATGCAATTCCCTCATTTAAGAAACTAGTAAAGTCTTCTAAATACTTGGCCTCGTCTCTGAACCCTCCCTTCACATTCTTGCCTTAAAAGAAACCTGGCTCTCCCTAGAGAACAAGGCGTCTCCTGAGAGCTCTCTGCCTGCTTGCTTTTTATTCCTGCTTCTATACAATGATCACTTCCTCCTCCTGAAACATCATCAGCTTTGAAGCTCATGGCATCAGTCTCTAACTCATAACTACAGTCATCTATAGACCCCTGGATCGTTTCCGATCCTCTCCCTTGAGTTTCACTGCTGGCTCTCTGTCTCTCTCCAACAATACTTCTTCATACACACACACACACACACACACACACACACACACACACACACTCTCTCTCTCTCTCTCTCTCTCTCTCTCTCTCTCTCTCCCTCTCTCTCTCGGTCATTTACATCAAGTCCCCAACACTACTTCTTTCTTGAAGTCTCCTGTAAAGGATCTTTCCATTACCCTGTACCCTCAATTCCCCGACTTTACTCTCCTCCGATGATCTTGTTTTCTGCCCTACTTCAGCCACAAATCCATGGTTATACCTTAGTCCTTGTCATTACCATCAACTACAAACTCTCTGTAATCCCAGTGTCAAACATACCACTCTCTAACCAGCATGGCCTTTCTTTCCAACTCACCTCCTCTAATCCTCAACACCAACCATTATTTAACTCACCAGTTCTTACAACCCATTGACTCTACAACCTTCCGCCTCCCCCCCTTAATTCCCTCATGTCCTCTTGTTCATGCATATTAAATTAGCTAGCTTGCATTTCTTGGTACCCAGTTAAATCACATCTTGCATACACATTCATCTCCTTGATTGTATTTGCCTGGCAAATCCCGAACCTGGTGACATACAGCTTTTCCTCTACTCTGCACCTGCACCCTTGCGAGTGAACATGAGAGTGCTCAATAAATAACTGTCACATAAGTGGATGAATATGCAATAAATTCTAATATACGCTAGGAATATCGAATAATTACCTCATTTAATAATAAATGCAAATGAATGATGTCAGGGGAGCTTAGAGAAAAGAAAACTCCTTGTGCCTAGTCCAGTACACTAGGAGGAATTTCAGAACAGGCCACTTTGCTCAAGATTTCCTGGAATTTATTTTCCTCAGAATGGACATCTACCTGTCAACCACTCTTTTGTCATGCTCCTTGAAAAACTTTATAATCTTTTCTAAAATTTGGTTTGATAGATTCTGCCCTCAAAAAACAGCAAATGCAGTTATCTATAAAAGCAAAATATTGCCTTCTGATCAAGCCTAATTGTTCCTAGGATAGTAATCTGTATTAATTAAAAGATTGTGTGGCACGATTATCTCCAAAGTTCTCCTGAGACTGCCTACAGACCAGCACACCCACACTTGGATATGTCAAATATTTCTCACATCCAAAATGAGACTTATCAAAGTAGACATGATGTTTATAAAAAGAGGAAGGTGAATAATACGCTTTACAAACAAATACGGTCATTTTTTAAAAGACTATGTTTACTAGAAACAAAGCAGTCAATTTTTAGCAACACAGAACAAGTTTATCATGTTGTATAGATACTATATCAGACATGCATTGAACAGCATAGGACTCAGGATAAAAACCAAAACCAGGATAAAACAGCAAACATAACAAAACCTCAACAACAACAGCATCAAAAACAAGAGAAAAAGAGGATGAACTGAGGCTTCTTTGTTACTATTTTCTCTCTGCCCCTTATGATTACTCTTTTGGTCCAATTTACAAGTTAAAAAACCTGTTAGTCAAAGGCACCTGTTTCTGTTTAAAAACAATTCTGCTTCAGAAAGAGAAATGGAAGCAACCTAATATTGTGAACATGGGGTAAGGCCCTAAACAATGACATGTGTGTAGGCGTTGTAGGTATTTCCAAAGAAATAAAAGTCAAAGAAATGAATATGCTATAAAGTCATCATTTGAGATGACTCAAATTCGAAAATGTTGTCAACATAAAGTGGTTTCACCTATCAAGTCATCCCAATAGAATTCAAAACCAAGGGTTCACAGAAAATGAATATAAGCTAATATGAATAAACTAGTTAAGTGTGTGTGTGTGTGTGTGTGTGTGTGTGTGTGTGACGGAGTCTCACTCTGTCACCCAGGCTGGAGTGCAGTGGTGCACTCTCAGCTCACTGCAACCTCCGCCTGCCAGGTTTAAGTGATTCTCCTGCCTCAGCCTCCCGTGTAGCTGGGATTACAGGCATGCACCACCATGCCTGGTTAATTTTTGTATTTTTAGTAGAGACAGGGTTTCACCATGTTGGCCATGCTGGTCTGGAACTCTTGACCTCAAGTAATCGGCCTCCCAAAGTGCTGGGATTACAGGCCTGATCCACCACACCCAGCCAGCTTCTTTTTCAATTTTCAGTCATAAATGCTTTAATTTCTTGTCTTTGGGGGATAAAGACAGAAGTAGATACTTTTTTAAAATGTTTATTAATTGTTCTCTTAAGCAATGACAACTACAATGCCACTGATTAAGACCCAGGATGGCTGCTGGGCTCAGTTTATGCCTGTAGTCCTCTCAAATGTCCAGTTTGAATGATAAACTGTGGCTGCCCTAATCACAGCTATATGATTTCACCTCAAGTGTTTATTTCCACACATCTGCATAGTTGTGTCATTGAATATGCCTGAACAAGGAACTTGGCCCACTGGACTTCTGGGTCCAAAACAAAATGCAGGAAACATGTTGGCCTTTTTGTTTGTTTTTAAAGTAATTTACTATCACCCAATATCCAATATCATTACTTCGTCTAGGCCAGTAAACTTCTGCATTATGCAATAAATAATGTAGGTCTTTACACCTTCCTTACTGCTCTTTTAGGAAATCTACTATAAAAAGAAACAATTCCATTTAACAGTAGTGCTTCAGTAGAAAGAGGAGCAGAAACTCTATAGCCAGGTGCAGCTGTTTAAAGCCCGTTTCCCATCTCTGCTTATTTACCCCATGTCCAATAAGTATGGAGCAGGCTAAACAGGGTTGGGAAAGAAACCCCCTTCCTGAGGGAAGCTGATGCTAATCAGACTTCCCCATGTTTGTCTCTATCGTTTAACAAACATATGGTTTATATAGTCTCTGAAACAATTTGGAACATGTAATGAGGAAGTTAAAGTGCTCAGAAAAGGGCAAATGGAAAAACCATCTTTCCTTGCATGGAGAAGTTTATATGGAGACTTCCTTTGATTGTCTTATATGTGCTCCAAGTTTACCAGCTGCTCATCAAGGCGTCTGCTTTGTGCAAGCAGCAGCTCCTATCAGGTGCTTCAACTGAATCAAATCTATATAAGTCTGTTGCTTGAAGTGTAAACAGTGATGGGTTCCTCTGTTGAAATCCACTTAAGGTCCTAGTAACCTTTGTTGAGATTTCTTTCTTTTCTTGTTTTTAACAAAATAAAGAACTACTAGTAGAGAACAGGATATGATGGTAAATACATATTCTGATTGTTTTTTTCTTCTCTGGAGGGCATTCTTTGTTAAGCAGGTCAGTGTTTGGTTCTACTATACGCAACATAACATCAAAGGCAGAAAAATGATATACCTTATTATCAACAGTGGCTTTCTTAAGGAGATTATTATGAAGCCCTTTAAGTTTCTGTCCCATAATTTCTATAAAGGTTAGAATTTTCATTCTGAGCATATATTTATTACTTTGAAATCAGGAAGACATTTAAAAATTTGCATACAACTTGCATACATTTTAAAAATACTAAAGCTCCATATATGTATCTGCAGTAGTTAGCACAAGAATAAAGAGATGCCAACTTCAGCGGAGCAGGTACTCTGGAGAAGAGGAGGAAGAAGGGCTGAGGGTGGAAGGACTTTGGGTAATCTGAAGTGTTTTATATATTTTTTTTTGTTTAAAAAGGAGGGATCTGACACTAATACGGCAAAAAGTATCTGTTAAGTATGGATGATAGGTATGTTCATGTTTGATAATTTTCTGCAAGGTTGAACCATTTTACAAGTAAAAGTAAAAAACAAGAATTTCATCAAAAATACATAGATATGACAGCTATCATCACTCTAGGTGTCTGTGGCTGCTTAAGGATGCAACTGAAGTGACTACCTGATAGTGGAATGTCTTTTCTGCCCTCTAACAACTAACTCTTTGCAGATGACATCATTGACTGAAAATATACTACCAAGTGAGAGTGAATTCAGTAAAGTGATTAGGTGTTAAAAAATGGCTTTTGTATATATGAATAACACCCAGTTAGAATATAAAATGAAGATGTCACTTTATTTATGACAAAACCCACTTTATGACAAAACCCACAAAACCCTTAATATGGATTAAACTTAACAGGTTTCTTCTATATGTAGATAACCTTAAACAACTTTAGAAGAAGGCCCAAATTAATGAATAGAAAAGCTTGATATTATCAAGATACCAATTCCTCCTAAATTAATACATAATTTAAACACAACCCAGTGAAAACACAAGCAAGGGTTTTTTGAGAGATGGCAGGGAGTAGAAATAGTTGAGTTGATTGTAAAACACGGAAAAAAAATAAACATGCAGAAATAGCCAGAAAGATTGTGGAAAAAAAAAAGAATAAACTAGCCTTATGATGTATTAAAACATACTGTAGGGAGGCCAAGGCGGGCGGATCACAAGGTCAGGAGATCGAGACCATCCTGGATAACACGGTGAAACCCCGTCTCTAAAAATACAAAAAATTAGCCGGGCGCGGTGGTGAGCGCCTGTAGTCCCAGCTACTCAGGAGGCTGAGGCAGAAGAATGGCGTGAACCTGAGAGGCGGACCTTGCAGTGAGCCGAGATTGCGCCACCGCACTCCAGCCTGGGCGACAAAGTGAGACTCCGCTTCAAAAAAAATTAAAATTAAAATTAAAAAATTAAAAAATAAACATACTGTAAAGCTGCAGAAATTCAAAGACTGGGACAAGGGCACGAGTTGACTGATGAATTGTGAAGCAGAATAGTGGGTTTGCGAGTTGACACAGACATGTCTGGGGATATAGAGGTGACATTTCAAATCTCTAAAAAAATTAATGGGTTAATCAATAAATAATATTGGGACATTTGGGGAAACATATCAAATATTTTTTTAAAATGTTGATCCCAATCTCACTCCTTAAACCAGGATATTTCCTTGGACCCAAGCTCTGGGTACATAAAGAGTTGTGAAGAAAAACTAAGTGACAAGACAGGTCTTTCTGCTGGATACAGACCTTTAACGGCCTGCCTTGTGGTCAGAGAGGTGCTGTTAAACATGTACATACCTTAGGGCAAGTTCTCATCTTAATCCTTATTAGCAAGCATTTTAGATACTTAATACGGATGAACAGGAATGGAAAATAGGCTAGCTTACCAAGATGCACCCAGGATAGTGAAAGGAAGGATGGTGATGGGGAGGCAAGGGAAAGGGTTAGACTGCACAAGCCAGCTTTCCCACAACCCACGTCTCTCAGCCCCAGCTGTAGGTGTAACTCTCACGTACCCGCTTACATTGTTTTAAAACTCTGTTTTATGGCCCAAATCCGACAGATGGAAACCCAAGCAGCACTTCCAGTTCTTCCTTTTGTAAAAAGGTTTAATTTAAAAGAAAAGATGCTATTGAGATTTATCACATCATTGATATTCATATGATTTTTGGCATATATTCTCAAGATAGTGACATTTATTTTTTACCTATTCAGTAGTTTCCTTTCCATAGGCTTTAGAACATTCACATAGCTTTTCTGTCCCGAAAAAAATATTTACTAGAATGTGCTGGTGCCACAACAAATGTTTCCTGAGTTAGCAGCTGCCTGCGTTTTTTCAGACCCTTGTGCTTACAGGCCAGTGAAATGGCTTCCGAAGGCCACCATGGCCCATCACCCCACCAAATTAAACACCTGGATTTCACCATTATTTCTCTTTGCATGTATACAGAATCTAGTGACACTGAGCAACTGTGAATCCTGAAACTCTATCTTCTAATGCCTTCTGTGACATTTCTAAGTCATTCTTCTTTGGGGACACTCTCCAAGATCCTCTTCTAGACTGTCGTGCATTAAATCCCTCTGAGGAATTTAATGGCTCTGACATTCCCCCCCAGTAGCACTGATACACAGGAGTTAATGGGGTTTATGAGATCAAAGGAAATTCTTCCTACTTTCCTCCAATATATGTATGAGAAAAAGTGTTCTGTAGATTTCAACTTGTTTCCCTTCTCCTTCTAAAAAACATGATTCCTAAACCGTCGCACTTGATCGTGTGTTTAAATGGAACAGAAACACTCTAGTCAAACTTTGCTGGGATGAAGGACATTGAATTTATGCTGAAATTTATTTTAAGTCAAGGAGTTAAAAATTTTTTTTCACTTGACTGAGGTTGATTTCCATTTCAATTTGGTTTTAGAATTATACTACTAACATGTTTTTAGTGGAATAATATACAATTTTAAAGGAATGAAATATGGCACAGCAGGTAAGAGTAGAGCCATGATTTGGAATGTCTGGTAAGAAACCCAATTCTAGGCTGGATGCAGTGGCTCACACCTGTAATCCCAGCACTCTGGGAGGCAAAGGCAGGTGGATCACGAGGTCAGTAGATCCACACCATCCTGGCTAACATGGTAAAACCCCGTCTTTACTAAAAATAGAAAAAAAAAATTAGCCGGGCGTGGTGGCAAGCACCTGTAGTCCCAGCTACTCCGGAGGCTGAGGCAGGAGAATCGCTTGAACCCAGGAGTTGGAGGTTGCAGTGAGCCGAGATCATGCCACTGCACTCCAGCCTGGGTGACTCCGTCTCAAAAAAAAAAAAAGAAAGAAAGAAACCCACTCACTCACTGGCTTTGTGAACCAAAGCAAGTTACTGATCCTCTCTGTGCTTCAGTTTTCTCATCTGTAAAGTGGGAATAACAGTACCAACTTGACTGGATTGTTGAGAGGATTAAATGAGATAATACATTTATTACCTCATTGTGTGTAAGGCACTTACAATCATGCCTGACTTACAGTAAATGTCAGCTATTTTTTTTATTTTCTTAACAGAACGCCATCCATTTAAATTGCCTGACATTTTGTTAAAAGCCTGATAATTATATGTTTTGCAAATGCACAAGTGGACCAAGCATAATTAGAGCTAAATACCCATGTCAAGAAATCCACAATTTGGCAAGTGCTCAGACCAGCAAAACAAGGCACAATATTTATCCAGAAACTGATTTCAAATAGGCTTACTTGCTCAGTTCCTCAAGCTAATTCTGAAGTCTAACAAACATGCCACATACATCCTATTTCATTGTTAATAATATAACAAATAGTGGAGATGAGGATCCCCATTCATCAGTATGACTGCCACCAAAAAAGATGGCCAGTGACCCAGAAAAGGGCCAGGAAGCCCCATCCCTGTCACCAAGGGTCACCAGATGCCACAGCCCAGCACTTCTGTGGCTGCTCATGGGATGCTCTGAACCCATAGTCCTTGAAAAAGAGGAGATGGACAGTTCTGAGAGGCTGTCACCACCTTTCTGAAGCTCTCTCCCTGGGATAAGCTGAACTAAGCAAGCCCTGAAGAGCAGGCACAGCTTCTTAAGTGGGTAACAAGGTTATCCAAATTATACAGCAACCCCACACTCCAATTCAGGAGTACCACACTACTGACGACATCAATAAAAAGGAAAAATATACTATTTATTTCACATTTTTCAGCAACAATGTTATAGTGTCTCCTAGTCATTTAGGAATAGTGAAAAAAAAAAAAAACTGCTACTACAACGTGTACACATGATTTACACCAATTTATAAAGAATAAAAATTGACCAATAGTTTTTCCTCACTCACTTGCCGCCTGACATGGGTTTCATGAGGAGGGAAAGGCATAGAGTTAAAGGCATTTATTCCTAAACTGCTCATGTTCTGGAGGCCATAAATTCATGTCTGGTCCTAGAGCGTGCCGTACCTTCAGCTATGTAGCAATTACGTAAAGGTTTAAAATCATTTTTTAAAAACAATAAAATATTCTAGAAGCAGAAGGGCAATAATTTGATTTACGGCAAAATCTTTAGAGAGAGAACACAATACCAAAAATAATCTTAATGATAGCATGTATCAGTTACTTAGCAGGACTATTCATATTCACTGTAGTAAGAGCTTTATGTGCATTATCTCATTTAATTCTCACAGAAACTCCATGATGAAGATGATGTTATTATCCCCATATTACAGATAGAACACTGAGGCTCTGAGAGACGAGAAGTAATTTGCCCAGGATTTGAGCTCAGTTTTCTGACCCCAGGCATCGATATTGTGCTTCTCAGTAGTGGCAGCTTTCAACATTTAACAGCAATGCCAACTCTCCTTACAGATGCAGGGGAAACAATACCTCATAACATCAGAGGAATCAAGGCTGCAAATGACAGCGGAAGAAAAAAAGGAGCAAAAAGGAAACAGGGCTCCCATTTCTTTTCCACCCCATCTTGCCATCTTGAATTTAGAACTCAATTCCAAAATGGTCAGAAATAAGCAAGCTTCATGTGTTTCAGGAACAAAGGAGCTTGCAATCATTTTTACTGCCTTTCCTTTAGCCAGGATACTCTTGACTTCCCTAGGAACGAGTTTATTCTGCAGATGAAACAGGTATCAGGTGATTTTCAGCTTTCTATAATAGGAAAGAGCATTCTCATGGAAAAAGCAAAAAATGGAACCAAACCAGGCCATGAACCTTTCAAGGGAGCCTGCACAGCTTTGAGCCACTGGGTGTTCAAACTATTTGGGAAAATCCAAATTTGAACTTAAGTCCTTGACCTTATGATAATGACCTAGTAGTTTGCTATTACAGAAAATTTTATAAAACCTGAAAAAAAAATTAAAAATTTTGAAAACCTTTTTATAAAACCTAGAAAGTTGTAACCAGGGCTCAAGCTATACACAGTATTTATGGAACCAGAAATCAGGAAGTAGAAATCTCCTGTCTTAAATGTCTGCAGGAAGGAAATGTTAACAAAGGGAAACTCTTCCCCAGATTCTGATGCTAGATTAGCTAATGGCAGAGGAAAACTCACAAATATGATTTGGTACTGGTTCTAGTTTTCTCCTACAACCAGTAAAACTATAAAAATACTCAACAAAAGCTTACTTTGGAAAAGATGTTTCTCCAAACAAACAAAAAAGTTGTAAGTTTCTATGCTTTTTTCCCCCAATAACTTTATAGGATGAGGGGAAAAGTGAAATATTCTAGAAAAATAAAATGAAGAAGTAATGAACATAAAGAAATTGAGCCTCTGGAAACAAAGACTCAGATTAGAATCCTGGCTCTGCTGAAAGACCTTGAAAAAGATATTTTATCTCTCTTTTCCTCAGCGTCTTCATCTGTGAAATGGAAATAATCCTGGCCTCCAGAACTGTGAGACAATAAATTCTGACTGTTTTAAGCCACTCACTTTGTTTGTGGCACTTTGATACAGCAGCTGTAAGAAACTAACACAGTAAGGAAACAAATACAGGAAGGAAAATTTTGCTTTCAGCTTCAGGTGATATTGGTAGAGAAGACCTAAGCCAGATAGAAGGGACTATATCTTACAAAATAAATCTTTTAGTAGCTTGAACCTAGTTAGATCTTGGATTCAGTTTTGTATTTCAAAACTAGGAACAACAGTATTTAGACCATAGGTTATACATGAAGGTACAGTCTGTAATTCATCTTTATTATAATAAGTTATCAGTAGGCACATATTGGATATTATAATGTTATTTGTTAATCTATGAGTATAACTTGACAATAAATTACTTTTATAATACAATATTACTATTCTTGCTGTGTCAGTCTGATAGATTTTCACACCTTCACTACTCCAAAGGCAAAGCTAGTTTAGTTTACTACCATGCTAGTATAGTGGTTGTCAACTAGCAGGGATTTGCTCCATGGGGACATTAGGCAAAAACGTCCAGAGACATTTTTGGTTGTCGCAACTAGGGTGTAAGGGGGCTGTTACTAGCGAACAGTGGATAGAGACGAGGAATGCTGCTAAAACATCCTACATTATTGCACAGGACAGTCCTCTACAACAAAGAAACATCAGGCCCCAAAATGTCAATCGTGCCAAGGTTGAGAAGTCTGCTCTTGCAGTACCCAGATAACTTCTAGTCAAAGCTTCAAATACCAAAGTGTTCATGTCCTCATCCCTCATCCAGAGTAATCAATCATGTATCCTTTTGAAATCTGGTAGAACCAGGCTATTAACAGAGTGACTCACTAGCAGCCAGGGCTAATGAAAACTTTAAACTTTCTTGTAAAGAGAAAGGCACATGCCCACAGCCCCAGCTACTCAGGAGGCTGAGGTGGAAGGGCTGCCTGAGCCCAGGAGTGTGAGGCTGCAGTGTGCTATGATCATGCCTGTGAATAGCCACTGAACTGCAGCCTGGGCAACATAACAAGGTCCCGTCTCTAAAAAAAAAATTAATAATTAAAATAAGCTTGTTTTTAATGTTCTAAAAAAGTGAAAATTCCTGTCACAAAGACAGTGTCATGGCCACTCATCAAGCCAGCTTTACAAGCACAAGCAGTGATACATGCACTGTGAAGTGGAGGGGGTCCACACACCTCAGCAATCTATGGAATGTGCCCAGTATAAACCTTCTGCCAGTCTGGATCGGAGGAGGAAGAGTAACTGTCCTCCCGAGCAGCTTTTCTCAGTAGCTGAAAAACCTCCCTGAAGAGGAAAACCACTGGAAGCCCAGCTGCTAAGTTCCTTGACTGAAACCTGGAATTAGAATTAGGCAGTGGGTGGCTAGATCAGTCCTCAAGCGCTGGCACAGGTGATTTTCCTTTATCTGTAACTTGTGGCCAAGCCTAAATTATCGCCTTGTTCAGGGTTGTTGTATCTCCTTTACTGTTGCCTCTGGCATGCAAAGCATTTGCAGTTCGCCTCCTTGAAGCTATCATGTAAATACGGTCAGGCATAGTGTACATTTTTAACCAAGTCTGTTTATGAAGCTTCTGTGGTTTGCATGTAACCTCACCACATATTCAGGTCATAAACAATTAGGTCTCCAATACTATTACCTAAGAACACCCTAGAAATATAATGAACTAATTGGTAAGGCAAAAAAAAAATTCTAGTTTTGGTAAAGGCCAAGTTAGGTACTCAGGTTGTCCTCTCCATTGGAGCTGTGTATCTTGCTCTTAAAAAAAAGAAAAAGAAAAAAAAGAAAAAGAAAAAAAAAAAAAGGCCAGGTGCGGTGGCTCACGCCTCTAATTCCAGCACTTTGGGAGGCCGAGACAGGCAGATCACCTGAGGTCAGGAGTTCTAGACCAGCCTGACAAACATGGAGAAACCCCATCTCTACTAAAAATACAAAATTAGCCAGGCATGGTGGCGCATGCCTGTAATCCCAGCTACTCAGGAGGCTGAGGCAGGAGAATCACTTGAACCTGGGAGGCAGAGGTTGCAGTGAACCAGAGATCATGCCATTGCACTCCAGCCTGGGCAACAACAGCAAAACGCCCGTCTCAAAAAAAAAAAAAAAATTCTCAAAGACTCCCAATGGCATTGCTCTTTATTAATAATACAAGTTCAAATTTACCTGAGCAAATAAATGTGGGATAGCTAGGAGAGCAACACCATCTGTGAAGGGCAAAGTACGCTACTAAGTAGAAGAGCATATACCTTAATTCTGACTTTCAATAGTCTATATTTATTGAGTAGGTCTGTGCAAATTCAAGAACAAAAGTTGCACTGTACTGGTTTAAATACCTTTAATATTTTCATTAAGTCACCAAAGTCATCATAATCGAAATTACATTTATATTTAAAATTGGCTTGGTACTGTCAGTGTACATTTTACCATTTAAATCAAATTTTAGTTAAAGCTCTTGGTCTACTGAGACAGAACAAATATTTCAACAGCTGGAAGATGTTAAAAGTCAAGAGTTCTGGCATTTGAAGAGACATATATAACTACTCTCCCCTAAAAACAAAACATCCTGGAGAAAGCCAAGGAAAAATGCTATCTCATAGGAAACCAACAAAACACAAAAACATAAAAATTATAATTCTTCTCCCATCTTTCTTTATAAAATTTACGGCTGGGCGCAGTGGCTCATGCCTATAATCCCAGCACTTTAGGAAGCTGAGGCAGGCAGATCACGAGGTCAGGAGATTGAGACCATCCTAGCTGACATGGTGAAACCCCATCTCCACTAAAAATACAAAAAATTAGCTGGGTGTGGTAGCGGGCGCCTGCGAGAGGCTGAGGCAGGAGAATGGCGTGAACCCGGGAGGCGGAGCCTGCAGTGAGCCGAGATCACGCCACTGCACTCCAGCCTGTGGGACACAGCAAGACTCTATCTCAAAAAAAAAAAAAAAAAAAAATTTTTACTTAGCTGCTAGAACTATTTAGACTACTCCAGGTAAGAGAAGTAATTTCTCCTTGGAGATATGGAAATAGAATTTTCCTAAGTATGAAAAATAATGATCAGCATTTTAATGTATGTATCATTGTCACATTATGGCTTCTCAGGGAAGACCATACTAACATTTCATTTCAGCTAGACAGCCACTCAGCTGAAATAATTCATAATATGGTCTGATTAAAAGGAGCAAAAAGAAGAACTCAATCTGTTTTAATTTAGTTTGAATTTTCAAGCTATAAAGTCAGCAACTCAGAACTAGCATTTAATTAAATATGCCTGATACATTTGGACATTTATTTTGTATTTTCATAGAGATCTGTTTCTATAATTCTCTTCACCTTGCCTAAATTGCACCCCAGGACCACCCCTGATCCCACCATATGCCATCAATTCAGGCCACCATCATTTCCCTCATATGTGGAAATAACAGCCCACAGATTTAAGTTTTCACTCTAAGTTCATATTCTAGGAAAGACGGAATATTTACATAGGACCTTACATGTGTTGGGTGCATTTAATAAAGTATGTTCCCTAGAGAAAGGCAGAGCTGAAGGGGTGTGTGTGTGTGTGTGTGTGTGTGTGTGTGTGTGTAGAACAGAAACAGTCTGACAGAAGAAATACTGGAAAGAAAAGGTTTCTACAATATTCTTCATGGACATCTCACCAGAGCTGGACACAAACACAGAACTAGAAGCCTGGAGTAAGAAGAACAAACACTCTGCCAATCAAATGATTTACTTCATTCCCTTCAGAAGGGAGTATGGCTAACACCTTCCCAGTCACAGGGGAATGTTTTAGACTAAGGATCATTAAAAGCAGTGCATTTTAAATTAAGTTAAAAGGAGCACTAGAGTTGCTCCCCAACCTGTTCTCAACTGGACCAACTTTTTTCTGTTTTACACAAAAATTTTATGGTAGAAGGAGTCTGAAAAACACAGAATGAGAATAAAAACAGTGCTACCTTCTCAGGGATATCATAAGAATTGAATGATATAAATGTGTAAAATGCTTAGAACAGTGGCTCAATAGAGGTTGGCAAGAATTATGATGCAGATAATGATTCGTCTGAAACTACATAAGCAATTTAAAGAAAATGAACCATAGATGCAATTATGATTCAGTATGTAGAAACTATACTTCCAACATTTCTAGCTTTTAAAGGATGATCACCCTAACAGGCATCTGAATTACAGAACTTTAAAACTGGAATGTCTAGTCAGCAACACCAGATAAAGACTTACCTCTTCTTCTTGGTGATAATGAGCACATCGTTAAAGAGAAAGAAGTAGACTTGCTGTTTGGATGTCCTTCTTGAGAAAAGCACAGTGTCTTCAACATAGGCTGTCAATTCACCTCTTTTTACCAACCACCGGGAAGAGGAGACTAAAGGAAAAGGCTACAAAAGGAGAAAAACCCAGTGACCAAAGCTAAATTGAAATCCTTTTAAGTTTACTGAAAGTAAAAGCTAAAACGTACATTCAAACAAATGATACTTATCATAGTATGCATCATTGTTTTATAGGCATATAAAACTGAACTATAAATACAGAAGTACAGTGCATTCTTCAAGAAAAAATGAAAAAGAACAATATATCTTCCACTATAAAAAACTATTAACTTCCCAATATGAAACTAAAACTCAATGAGAAAATGTTATTGGATCAATAAAAAATTATGACCCTTCTATTAACTCTTAACTGAAAAAGAAAGTAAGGAGTTATTTACAATTGAAAAGCCTAGTAATAAAATATATCAGAATCAACTAGTTATTTTAAATATCTCAAATCAGAATCTAAACATACAGAAAAACACAACTATAGGTTAACGAGACAAATATAAAAGTCTACATTTACTTCATGAAGTAAAAAGGTTTCTTTCAAGAGAAAAAAACCTACATGCTTATTTTTTTGTCTACAAATTATCTATTTAGCCATATTCTTGAGAACACCTGTTCTTAAGATCATGGTAGCTTGCTTCATGGAAGTTTGTACCTGAAAGCATCATACTACTTTCTGGCTGTGAAAATGAGGTTCTTCCAAAATAATCCATCATAATCATTATAATATCATAGAAAAGGCTGTATCCAAAAAATTACATACTGCTTTTTTATTTTCTTTATTCAGTCTTGTACAAGCCAACTGGAAAACTCTCAAAACTACAGAACAATCCTTACCCTTGAAAGCTTTTTTTTTTTAAGTTACCAGAAATGTTTACTGCCAAAACTCTGATTTAAAAGACTACATCCATAAAATAAGCAAAAGTTCTTGGACACACAAAACATAATGCAGAAATGTGATGCAATCAAACATCACCCTTTTCAGGAAATAATGATTAAAAATAGCTAAAGGAAATTGAGGATATTAGAGAGGAAATGAGAAGGCTAAGAAAGGATTTCATATTTATTTTAAACTTTATAAAGAGCTTTTATAAGAAGGTTGCTTATCATTTATATACTATTTTCCTGAAGGTCCAAAAAACGAAGATAAAAGATTATGGCTAACCCCAAACTTTTCAAAACTGGCTGCTAAGGGAGTTTATGAAGTTCCCAACCCCCAAAATCTCGAAATCAGACAATTACCCTACAGAGACAGCTGAAACCTTAAAGGTCGACAGATTGCTTAGATAACTCCGGCAGACTAGGCAGCACATACAAGAGGTCACCTTGTGTCAGGGTAGGTCCGGCTGAAGGGCCGGAATTACAGGAAACACAGGACTATCTTGCTATTGCGTATAACCCTACAAGATGAACCAAGGACAATATTATGGTTAAGTTTCAGTGCACATGCTGCCCTGTGACTGTTCTGATTTAGGGGGTGGAGAAAGAAAGATTTTTAAATTGTTTTATTGTTTTTAAAGCAGATTCATTTTTATGGAGTCCTCATACTCCACTAGGGGCAAAACTAAATTTCTACCTATAAACACCTAAAATTGACAAAAGCTTTCAATACATCTATGCTTCTTTTGAAAACAAAAGCCCAACATTTTATATATAGTTTATGTTTCAGATTTATTGTTAGAAGACTGAACTCAATCAGATAGGTTTTATTAAAGAAGAGATATTAAAATGATCCAAATAAAGGAAATCAGAACAGCCCAAAGTGAGCATGAGTGAATTCCCCTAGTAAGGAAATGCTGAGACTAGAATCCATGTGTGAACCAGAAACTAGAAAAGAAATTCATGAACAAAGATATATCCTAAATAGTACTGAAATACTATCCTAAATAGTACTGAAATAGTCTGTGCCTATGGAGCACAGACATTTCATTTTTTTTTTTCTATTACCTGGCATCCTAGAAAGCTAGCCTTGGCATAAAATGTAACTAATTTTATGGGGCAGCAAGAAAAGAGAGAGCTGCTGAAGAGCAAATAATTTTTTTAATGTTGAGATAAAATTTACATAACATGAAATTCACCATTTCACCACTTCAAAGGGTGTAGAATACAGTGGTTTCTAGTATGTTCATAATATTGTTCAATAATCAACATTATGTAATTCCAGAGCATTTTCATTACCTCAAAAGGAAACCCCATATGCATTGAGCAGTCATCTGCCACTCTTCCTCCCCCAAGCATCTGGCAACCACTAATCTACTTTCTAACTCTATGGATTTGTCTATACTGGATGTGTCATATAAATGGAATTATACAATATGTGATCTTTGAATTTGGTTTCTCTCACCTAGCATAACATTTCCAAGGTTCATCCACAAGGCATGTATAAGAACTTTATTCCTTTCTGTGCCTAAATATTTTACTATATGCATATATCACATTTTGTTTATCAATTCATCCGTTGATTTGGGGTATTTTCACTTTCTTGGCTATTATGAACAATGCTGCCATGAAGATTTGTGTATATGTTTTTGAACATCTCTTTTCAGTTCTCTTGGGTATATACCTAGGAGTGGAACTGCTGGGTCATATAGTAGTAACTCTTATGTTTAGATTTTTGGGAAACTAACAAACTGTCCTCTACAGCACAAAGATTTTTCTTGGATTTCCATTGTTAGCAAGGCCCCCAAATGGCAACCAGCAAAGCCTTCTGTCAACTAACATACCACCACTCCACTCAATCACACTGAATGTATGTCTCCTAAAGCAGCCTGAGAAACCTCAACTTCTCCATGTGCTTATTCATAAGGTCAAACTTTCCATCGCAAGACAAAAAAACAAAATTCTTCCCAACTCTGTAGAGGCAACTTTTAAAGAAAGCTGTTTTCTAGTGGAGAAAAAACACTGGATTTGAGACACAAACTAATCTCTGGTTTTCGATCTTCTTGGTTTAGTGACCAGCTTTTTCTCTACAACCATCATTTTCTTTCCTCCCATCTCAGAGGATAAGCTCTCCTGTCTTCAACACCCTGTTTTCAGCTCTAAGGCCTTATTCCCTTGATTTATTCCCCTCTCATTAGTATTCTCTCCCTCCTGGCTCCCTTTCTGCAAACTATCCTGAAGACTATTCACAAAAAATGGTCCCTTGACTTTGTGAATCCTCTAGTTATCATCACTGCCCTATCCTCTTGATAGTCAAGCTTCTGGAATGAAAAGTCTAATCTGCTTCAACTGCTTCACATCCCACTCACTCTTCAATGCACCCACATCTATTTAACTACTCTGATAAAACACATCAACAATGTTTGCTGCTTGTTTACTATAAATCAGGTCTATTTAAACCCTTTATATCTCTTAAATAATTTAATTTTCAAAATAATTCCATGAGGGAAAGTACTATCATCAGCTTCACTTTAGGGTTCAGAAAACCAAGACATGAAAAGGTAAGTGATGCCCAAGGTTGTACAGCTAGTAAGTGGTGGAGCTTCTACTGCAACTCAGGCAGGTCAGTTCTGGAGCCTGTGCTCTAACTTTACACTAGCTTCCAAAGTGCCAATCCAGGGATGCTTTCCATCTCCTCTCATATTACTGCAGTTTAGCACTTGACAGTCTTCCAGAAAATCATAAGCAAAATTAAAAATAAAAAACGTGTGAAATGACAATGAAAAACACACACACATGCCCTACAAAATTTACTTTCCTCCAAATTAGAAAAATATCCATATTATCATTATCATACAGTCATTGTTAAGAATGTGGACTCTGGAGTCAAAGATTTGAATCTAGACTTTATAACGTCTTGGTGTATAACCTTGAGCAAAGAATTTAATCTCTCTAGTTTCAGGTTCTTCATCTATAAAGTGAAGTTAATAATAAGGGTACATTATAGGGTTCATGTGAGAATTAAATCAGATAAATGTGAAAATGGCACTACTTAGTAAATTTGCAACCAATATTCTCATAGTAGTAGCACCTATGGCCATACCATAAACCAAATATGGCCAAAATAGAACTCATTACCTTCCCCCAAAACTTGTTCCTCCTCCTGAATTTCCTATCTGAGTGAGTGGGTGGCTCTCCACCCAGTCAACCCGACAAGGCCCACTCCCTGACCACTGCCCCTCACGGGTAATGACCAATAACTAGTTTCATCTGCATCTGTCCAAATATTTCATCTGCAAAAGCAAACTGTATTTTTTTATATCTAAACCTTACTTTTTTCATTTAATAATATATAAGAAAGCTTTCCATATAGGTATCTAAAATTCTCCTTTATTCTTTTGAGTGGTATCACATTATTTGCGTATACTATAATTTATTTAATTAATCCTCTTTGATAGATATTTAGATGTTTTTCCTCATCTTTCACTATTACAAACAACACTATAATAATAGCTCAGTGTGTGTTTAATTTTATACATTCATGAGTACATCTGTAGAATTCTTAGAAGTAAAATTGCTGAGTTGTAGTAACTTGCATTTGTAATTTTGATAGTTATTGCCAAATTGCACACCATTGGGGTAAAACAATCTTTCCCACCAGCAACATATAAAAATGCCTTTTTCTCCAATTCCATCAATAAAATGGGGTATCAAACTTTTGAATTATTTATAAATCTAAAAGGTGAAGTTCATTATCTTTATCTGCTAATCTTCAATTAGCAATTTTCCTCTGAGTGAAATAAAGCATCTTCAAAACTTTGTCATCATTTGGATTTCCTTTTCTGGTAGCAGTTTTCTAATTTGCAACTTTCTAGTGGTTTTTTTTTTTTGTTTTACACAACAGGAATTTATGTCTCACAGTTTTGGAAGACAGGCCAAGATGAAAGTGTCAGCAAGGCCAGGCTCTCAGAAGGTGCTAGGGAATAATCTGTTCCAGGCCTCTCCCCCAGCTTCTGGTAGTTTGCTGGCAATCTTTGGTGCTCCTTGGCTTGTAGACTAGTGGGTCTTCTCTTATCATTTTGATTTTATACATCGGGGATATTTACCCTTTGTCTATATGTGAGTTGCAACTATTTTTTTCTCCAGTTTGCTATTTGCCTTTTCACTTTTTTCATGGTCTTTTTCCCTCTATAGAGAAATTTTTTAAAAATTTATATAGATTAATTAGGACTTTTTTCTTTTAATGACTTCTGGATTTGGAGTAAGTTGGAAAAGCCTTTCCCCATTGCTGAAGTTGTCTTTACTAAACACACATCTGATTGCTTCACTTCCCTGCTTAGAACTTTTCGGTGGCTCCCAAATGACCTCACTCAGCTCCTCCTCTTGGTACACAGGGCTGTCCGCAGGAGTGTTTGCCTGCTACTGTAGCTCCACCCTGCTCCTCTTGCACCCCAAGTCTACCCACACTGAATGCTTACAATTCCTGGGCCACAGGAGTGGAAACTGTGCATTTGTTTCTGCTCTAAGGCCCTTCTTAACTCACCTTTCAAGATTCAGGTCAAACACACCTCTGGCATTAAGCCTTGCCAGACTGCTCCAAGTCCCCCAGCCCTCTCTGTCTCTTGCTCTTAGAGTTGTCCATCTCCCTTCCATTTCCAGTATTTTCCATAGTCTTCTAGCTACTGTGACAGCTGTAGACTTTGCTGACTCCTTTGATTTTCAGCAGTCTTCTACTAGACTATGAGGGGAGGGATGATCACGTTTTTATCTACTGCCTTCCACATGGAAGATGCTCAGTAAATCTGCTCTATTCTTACAATACTTGCCATGTACTTGGATAAATCATTTAACCTCATTGAACCTCTATTTTATCATCATTAAAATAAATTAAATAGAAATGTCCACTGTTATTCATATAGTATTATAAGGTCCTAAGATTTTACGAGTATTTCCAATTAGTAATAATTAGTAATTCTAAGTGTTCTAAATGAGGTGCTCCACTGTAAATCCATACTTTATGCTCGCAAATATTTTAATCATTGAATGAAAACAACCAAAACTCAGGAACTCAACTGATGTTAATCACTTACTTTTTTGTTTGTTTTTTGTTTTTTGTTTTTTTTGAGACGGAGTCTCGCTCTGTCGCCCAGGCTGGAGTGCAGTGGCACGATCTCGGCTCACTGCAAGCTCCGCCTCCCGGGTTCATGCCATTCTCCTGCCTCAGCCTCCCGAGTAGCTGGGACTACAGGTGCCCGCCACCACGCCCGGCTAATTTTTTTGTATTTTTAGTAGAAAAGGGGTTTCACTGTGTTAGCCAGGATGGTCTCGATCTCCTGACCTCAGTTAATCACTTACTTTTAATGATCCTTGGGGTTAGCATTTTTCAATTACAAATTAATTTTGGGTACTGGACAGAGTTTCTTTTTCTTTTTCTTTTTTTTTTTTTAAGAGTCTTGCTCTTTTGCCCAGGCTGGAGTGCAGTGGTGAGATATCAACTCAATGCAACCTCTGCCTCTTGGGTTCAAGCAATTCTCCTGCCTCAGCTTCCCAAATAGCTGGGATTACAGGTGCCTGCCACTACACCCGGCTAATTTTTGTATTTTTAGTAGAGACAGGGTTTCATCACGTTGGTCAGGCTGCTCTCGAACTCCTGACCCCAGGTGATTCACCCACCTCGGCCTCCCAAAGTGCTGGGATTACAGGCATGAGCCACCTCGCCCGGCCTAGACAGAGTTTCTTAAAGTAATCTTATACCAAGTGACTTTCAGTGAAGAAGGGAAAAGAAAAATGGTTAGGGAATTTTTCATCTTTCAAAAGGAGGAAATTAAAAAACAAAAAACAAACTTGTCAGATATACTTTCCAAAATATTTAGAAACAAATTAGAGAGAACGAGATTCTGAGAGTTGGGAGAAAGATGGGTTTTTTAATTGCTATAAAATTCTGTACAAGAACATTAAAACTATTTAAAGTGTGCGTGCATGCATGTGTGTGCATGTGTGTCTGGTTTTTGGCAAATACCCATCTTCTTCCCTTTTACAGTTTGTGTTTCTGCATCTAAACCATTAGAGTCAGAATGTTACAGTAGAAGAGTTTACACTGACCTGCAAGTCAGGACATCTAGACCTTAGTCCTGATTTTATCACCACTAGCCAAGTGACTCTGCTGACAATTATTCTCTGGGTTTCTTTTCCTCATTCATAAAATAAAAGGGTGTAGCTGGACTATATCAGTGATCCTCAATTCTAGTATATATGCTGCCAAAGCAAGCATGCAGTAATCCTCAAACTACATGACATGGCAGAGAATCTGCTCTTTACAGAATACCATGAAATGCTGATCACTATAATTTGACTGCATGAAATAGAAACACTTTTACTAGGGAAAAATATGACCAGTCATTTAAAATTGTTTAATTACATTTACAAGTTATAAAACAATAGAGTCACAATCGTGAGCACTCACTTCCCATTAAAAACTCAGCCATGAGCCAACAAAAGAATGGCCATGACCTAGATTTGCCATTAGCTGTCATTTTCTTCTTTTTTGTTCATCTTGTCATCTGCTCAAGAGCAGTATCAGACAAGGAATAACAAGCAGCACATATTCAAAAAAATTATGAGAGAAAAACAAACTTGAAAAAAATTATCCATTAACGATCTGTTTTGTAAACGAGAAAAGGAGTGTCCTTATTTAATTTAGGAGAACACTGGTCCAGCTCATGGAATATTACTGTTTTTCAGAACATTTTGAGAATAATGAAGGAATCTCCTTTCAATTCTAAAATTCTATTATTTTAACTACCCTATTCTATTATTTTATTTATTCCCCTAAGCTTGGTGTCTTCCTGGAAAAAAAAAAGTGCTTCTTAGATAATGCCTGGCTTCAGGGCCTGGAGGAAGGTCACTCTGTCTGGTACAAGCAAAAGCAAAATTGCCTGAAGCATCTGCTACTCCCTCTTAGCAATTTATGACCCTTCTTTGAAAAGCAATTTCCTATCTACTTTGTTGCCCTCAACTGTCTCTCTCTATTTAGAGAAAAACATAGGCAAGAACAGTAATGAACAAGGTACGAGAATACCTTAATTTTAAATTCCAGCTGGGAGTTAATTGTGTACATCATCTCAGTCCTTTCCATCTTCCGGGCGCCCTCATTGCATAGTCGAACCAACTGGGAACACAGAAGAGTAACGAGGGTTAAAGGTCAAGGAGAGAAACCTCACTTTCAAAAGCAGAACTCTCACAGGAAATAATTACCACTTGGGAAGCCCTAGAGATTCATTTCTGACAGAGAACTCACAGTTTTTCACAGTTAAGACATTCGTATCCAGTTAGAAGTGGTGTGATTAGGATGTGAAGACAGAAGGGAAAAAAAGGTCACCCTATCTCAGGGAAAGCTGCAACCCTCGCCCTTCTTCCAAATCAGAGCAGCTGAAGGGAGATGGCCAACCTCAAAGGCAAAATCTAAGCAGAGTGCTGTGTAAAGCATGTGACCAGTAAACAAGTGCTGAAGCTTCTGCACAGCAAAAGAAACTACCATCAGTGTGAACAGGCAACCTACAAAATGGGAGAAAATTTTCGCAACCTACTCATCTGACAAAGGGCTAATATCCAGAATCTACAATGAACTCAAACAAATTTACAAGAAAAAAACAAACAACCCCATCAGAAAGTGGGTGAAGGACATGAACAGACACTTCTCAAAAGAAGACATTTATGCAGCCAAAAAACACATGAAAAAATGCTCATCATCACTGGCCATCAGAGAAATGCAAATCAAAACCACAATGAGATACCATCTCACACCAGTTAGAATGGCAATCATTAAAAAGTCAGGGAACAACAGGTGCTGGAGAGGATGTGGAGAAATAGGAACACTTTTACACTGTTGGTGGGACTGTAAACTAGTTCAACCATTGTGGAAGTCAGTGTGGTGACTCCTCAGGGATCTAGAACTAGAAATTTCATTTGACCCAGCCATCCCATTACTGGGTATATACCCAAAGGACTATAAATCATGCTGCTATAAAGACACATGTACACGTATGTTTATTGCGGCATTATTCACAATAGCAAAGACTTGGAACCAACCCAAATGTCCAACAATGATAGACTGGATTAAGAAAATGTGGCACATATACACCATGGAATACTATGCAGCCATAAAAAATGATGAGTTCATGTCCTTTGTAGGGACATGGATGAAATTGGAAATCATCATTCTCAGTAAACTATCGCAAGAACAAAAAACCAAACACCGCGTATTCTCACTCATAGGTGGGAATTGAACAATGAGATCACATGGACACAGGAAGGGGAATATCACACTCTGGGGACTGTTGTGGGGTGGGGGAAGGGGGGAGGGATAGCATTGGGAGATATACCTAATGCTAGATGACGAGTTAGTGGGTGCAGCGTACCAGCATGGCACATGTATACATATGTAACTAACCTGCACAATGTGCACATGTACCCTAAAACTTAAAGTATAATAAAAAAATAAATATTTTGTATAGACATAAAAAAAAAATAAAAAATAAAAAAAAATAAAAAAAAAAAAACAAGTGCTGAAGAGGGAAGTCTTGCAGGGGAGCCTAACAGTGAAGGATTCTTCAACAATAGCCAAGCTAAGGCCATCAGTTAAATTTGTTTCACTAGAAGCACTAAATTATCTATAAAGCAAAATTATCTATAAAGGACTTTCACAGTCGTTTAATGAGTACCTAATCTTAATTCACTGGTCTAAATCAAAACAAATTTTGCATCTCAAGTATCTCATTAACTGGAAAATCTGGAAAAAAAAATGCCCATATTAGAGTCATTTGCCATAAAAACAAATGTGATTGTTAAAAGGACTGGAAATTTTAATTGGATTTATTTTTAATAATATAAACATACCCACTATAAAAATAAATACTATAATATAGAAGTAAATAAAATAGGCCATAAAAGGTCCTGACCTACTCCCACTGCACAGATGTAGTTGGAAACAGACTGGGTCATACACTTTCTCTTTTTTTCCTATGTTATATATGAACATATAAATACACACATATATGTACAGAAATTTTTCTTTTTTGGAAATGATCATTCTATGCTTGTATGTCTTTTTTCTTTTTTCACTTATCAATTATTACAGACTAAATGTTTGTGTCTCCCCCATATTCATGTTGAAATCCTAACCTCAGTGTGATAATATTACGAGGCAATGTGATAATATTGGGAGGTTATTAGGTCATGAGAGTAGAGTCCTCATGAATGGGATTAGTGCCCTTATAAGAAGAGACAGGATAGCTTTCTTCTTCTCTCTGCTCTCTCTCCACCATGTGAGGACATAGGGAGAAGGTGGCCATCTGCAAACCGGGAAACCAGCCTTCAGCAAACACTGGTTCTGCCTATATCTTGGTCTTGGACTGCCCAGCCTCCACAACTGTGAGCAATAAATATCTGTTCCTTAAACCACCCAGTTTATGGTACTCTGTTACAGCAGCTTGAATTAAGACAAAAATATTTCCCCTTCTAAAATATTATTCATTAAAAAAAAAAGTTTATTTAGTGCCTACTATGTTTCAGGTACTAGGGTTATAATACTTACAATCCCTAACCTCACGGAAGGGCAGACAAAAGGCAAAAAAAAAAAAATCACAGACTGAGATCATAAAGTAAAAACACAGGTGAGTAGGGGAGTGGGAAGTGGGGAGGGATCCAAAGGACCCTCTCCTGAGAGGTCATTTAAGCTGAAAGCTGAAGGAGAAGTAGTTACTACTAAATGATAAGATGGTTCACAGAGAAGGGACACCATGAGCAAAGGATGAGATGAGAAAGTGTGTGACTGAGTGAGTCAAAGAAGATCCTGGCATGAAGGAAGGTGGCATGGGATGAAGCCAAAAGAGATAGGCCACGGTTAGATCATGCAAGGTCTTAAGGTGTCTGGATTGTATTCCAGGTGCAAAAAGAAAGTCACCAGCATGCTTTCAGTGGGGGAATGACATGATCCAATTTATGCTATAATAATTATATGGACTTTCCCCAATATATTTATTCTATTTCCTATTAATGGGCACTTAAACAATTTCTAATTGCTCACTTGGTTTTTAGATTTAGAGGGCAAACCTGTCTTCAATGACAGCATATCTTTAGCTGTGGCCTGTGAGTTCACTGATGCAGGGATTGATAGCTATATCTGATCAAAGCTAAGAGCCAAAATATCTAGGTGTGAGACAGGAGCAACCTGAAACTGCAATACCCTGAAAGGAACAGGGCATATCAGGGTGAAACCCAAGCACCATACCAGGCTCCTGCTGCTTGGGACATTTTTGTGACTTCTCCTGGGGAATGTGTTCATAGCTCCCAAATCTATGTTCCCAGACTTTGTCTACATCCTAGGCTCTGATCCAACTATCTACACGGCACCTCTTCTTAAATTTCCCAGAGCCATTTCAAATTCAGCATGACCAAACCTGAGCATCTCCTTCATCACGCTCTTGTCCCTGGCTCCACACTGTCTATCCTGGTGACTCAACTCAGCATCATCCACTTTCCTCCAAAACTTGGCCCTCACCACTCAGACCCCTCCCTCTGCTTTGCCCTCCACATACAATCCAAGTCTCCTTAATGATGCTGTCCTGCTGTTCACTTCTCTCTACCTGCCCTGGCCACTGAACTCAGGCTCAGACCTCTTGCTGCCTGGATTACTGGCTGCTTAATTCTTTTCCTCACTTCTGCCCTACCCTTATGAGTCCTCCAAAAATAAGATGTCAGTTTTTCTAAGTTCAGATCTGATCATGAAACAACTCCACTAGAAATCCTTAAAAGGCTCCCTGAAGCTTTCAGAATAAAGTCTTAGCAAGACCCTTCATGATCTGGTGCCTACTTCCTTGATCCCTAACCTCTCACTGCTCCCATGTGGGGCCTCGGCCCTACCAAATGTTGGATGCATATGCTGTGTCCCACCTTCCCTCTTTTGCATGTGTGTTTCCCTGTCTGAACATCCTTCACCCCACTCTGTCCGACTGACTCCTTATCTAGATTTATATCCCCCTACTTGTCTTTCAGTGCTCAATGTGGGCACTACCTCTCCAAAAAGACTGGAGAGCACAGACTATAAAATTTCTGTAATTGTAAGCCCAGAGCCCAATATAGCACCTAACGCCCAATGGGATATTCTGCAAATGTTTCTGCATAAACAAACCACCTTCAGAGCCTATTTGTAAGTCATTTTTAAAAAAAAGAAACAATTTATTCATAGTTATCTTCCCGTCTTTTTTTGTGGAGATGGGGTCTCACTACATTGCTCAGGCTGGTCTTGAACTCCTGACATCAAGTGATCATCCCACCTTAGCATCCCAAACTGCTAGGATTACAGACATGAGCCAGCACACCAGGCCAATAGCTATCCCTTCATAAAATGAAAAGAAAAAATGGCATTATTAAGTTTGGGTTATCTTATTTCTTAAACTTCCAAATTCTGAGCCCATCAGCAAAAGCTGGAGTCATGCCACCACTAGGGAAATCCTAAAGAAACCAAAGGTGCTTCAGAAGTCAGACCAAACACAAGATTCCCAAGATGTCTTAAGCAATGGTGCATCAATGGAGTTGATTTTAATTAGTATTTTGAAGGGACAAGCATTAATTTGAACATACATGTTCTGCTGTTTTTATTGAAAGCAGCCTCAGTATATTACTGTACCTTCCTTCAATTTATGCCAAAGCTTTATTAAATTTGGTTCACTAAAGCTTTTGTCCCAGGCCTAATAAATATATATTAGGCCTGGAACAAAAGCATATATATATATATACACACACACACACACACACACACACTCTCTCTCTCTCTCTATGTTACTCGTAAAGAAATGTAAATTAAAACACAAAGTCTTTTTGATCCATCAAATTAACAAAGATTAATAGAATATCTGATCCTGGCAGTATGCAGTAAGATAGACACTCTGAAATACTACTGGTGGATGTGGACATGAACTTTTCTAGAAGGCACTTTGGCATTATATACAAAAGAATTTAAAACATTCTTGTGTTTTTCTTCCCATGAACCCACTTCTGAAAATTTATCTTTAGAAATGGTTAGATGTGCACAATCATTTAGGTAAGACAATGTTCAATGGAGCACAACTTAGAATGTTAAATGAAATAGGTACCATATATACCATGGATCCCCCACCCCCAGGGCCATGGATTGGTTAGGAATCCAGCGCACGGCAGGAGGTGAGTGGAGGGCAAGTGAGCATTACTGGCTGAGCTCTGCCTCCTCCTCCTGTCAGATCAGTCACAGCACTGGATTCTCATAGGAGTGTGAACCTTATTGTAAACTGCGCATGTGAAGGATCTAGGCTGTGTGCTCCTTATGAGAATCTAATGCCTGATGATCTGAGGTGAAATGGTTTCATCCCGAAACCACCTACCACCCACCTACCCCCCAGCCCCCCACCCGTCTGTGGAAAAATCGTCTTCCATGAAACTAGTCTGGGGTGCCAAAAAGGTTGGAGACCACTTTTAAGTGTTCCTTTACAGTCATATGCTAATATTGGAACAGAAAGCCAACCAGAAGGATACAAAATAGAATGACAGTAGTCACCTTTAAGTGATAAAATTACTGATGCATTTTACTGTCTCTTAAGTTTTCCAAATATTCTGCAATGTACACTTATTATTGTATCCAATTTTCCCTTTTTTTTTTTTTTGAGACAGGGTCTTGCTCTGTCGCCCAGGTTGTAGTACAGTGGTGTGATCATGGTCACAGGGTCTATCATGGCATGATCAACAACCTGGGCTCAAGCAATCCTCCCACCTCAGTCTCCCAAGTAGTTGGAACCACAGCTGTATGCCAGGCTAATTTTTTGATTTACTGTGGAGAAGAGGTCTCACTATGTTGCCCAGGCTGGTCTCGAACTCCTGGGCTCAAGCAATACGCCTACCTCAGCCTCCCAAAGTGCTGGGATTATAGGTATGAGCCATTGCACTTGGCCACTTTATGCACTGTTAAAATATACCAATGTCAACTTAAATACGTTCTTACAGAGCTGTACTTAGCCTTATTACTTCCTCCCTTCCAAACTCTCCTCCCTTTACCACAGCTAACAATGGTTGAAAGTGTAATGTGCATGATTCTGGGACTATTTCTACATATCAATAAAATACACACACACACACACACATATATATATACACACACACATATACATTATTTTCTAGGTGTCATTATACTATTTATATTGTTCTGCAACTTAATTTTCTGCACTGACCAATACAGCTTGTTTGCATGTTAAAATATATATATTGGCCCAAGGCCAACTAAGATAATGGAATAGAAGACTCCACTGATCATCCTCCCCACTACCCTCTTCAAGGACACCAATTTAACAACTATCTACACAGAGAAAACACCTTCATAAGAACCAAAACTTAGGTGAGCTCTCAGTACCTGGTTTTATCTTCGTATTGCTGAAAAGAGGCACTAAAGAGATAGAAAAAACAGTCTTGAATCCCTGATGCCACCCCCCACCCACCCCCGTCTCCTACAGCAGCGGCATGTTGCAGAGAGCATCTCTGGGCACTGTGGGAAAGAAAACACAGCAATTGTGACACACTGAACTCAATGCTGTCCTGTTAGAGCAGGAAAAAAAAAGACCAAACTCAGCTGATACCCATCCATGGAGGGAGCATTTAAATCAGCCCTAGTCAGAAGGGAATCACTTATCCCAGCAGTCTGAACTTGAGTTCTCACCACCAAGGCCTACAGCACTCTGTGACTCTCAGTGAACTTGAAAGGCAGTTTAGGCCATAAGGACTGTGACAATTAGGCAAGTCCTAGTGCTGAACTAGGCCCAGAGACAATGGAATGGGGGCTCACATGACATACTGAGACACCAGCTGTGGCAGCCAAGTGAGTGCTGGCAAGCACAGCTGGGGCTCCAAAAGAGACCCCTTCCTTCTGCTTGAGAAGACGAGAGGAAAAAATGGGAAGGGCTTTGTCTTGCATCTTGGATACCAGCTCAGCCACAGTGGGAGAGGGTAATGCTCACTGTTGTGAGGCCCCCGTTCCAGGCCCCACCTCCCAGACAAATTTTTTTTTTTTTGGTGGGGGGACAGACTTAATCTGTCGCCCAGGCTAGAGTGCAATGGTGCGACCTTGGCTCACTGCAACCTCCACCTCCCGGGTTCAAGTAATTCTCCTGCCTCAGCCTCCCAAGTAGCTGGGATTACAGGTGCCCACCACCACAACCAGCTAATTTTTTGTATTTTTAGTAGAGATAGGGTTTCGCCATATTGGCCAGGCTGGTCTCAAACTCCTGACCTCAGGTGATCCGCCTGCCTCGGCCTCTCAATGTGCTGGGATTACAGGTGTGAGCCATTGTGCCTGGCCCCAGACAACGTTTGTAGACATACCCTGGCGCCAAATGCAATTGGCGGCCAGGTGCAGTGGCTCACGCCTGTCATCCCAGCATTTTGGGAGGCCGAGGTGGGCAGATCACTTGAGGCCAGGAGTTTGAGACCAGCCTGGCCAGCATGGTGAAACCCCGTCTCTACTAAAAATACAAAAAATTAGTCAGGCTTGGTGGTGAGTGCCTGTAATCCCAGCTACTTGGGAGGCTGAGGCATGAGAATCGCCAGAAGGGAACCTGCTGCCTTGAAGAAAAGAACCCAGTCCTGGCAGTATTCAATACCTGCTAACTGAAGAGCCCTTGGGCCCTGAATAAACAGCTTGGATACCCAGGTACTATGCCGAGGGCCCTGAGTCAGCCTCTGAGACTTCCTGGATTCAGGTACCAGCATGGTCACAGGAAGGTAGAACACCAAGCAGGCTCCTGGGGTCCCCGACTCCAGGACTTGACTTCTGGATGGCATTTCTGGACCTGCCCTGGGTCAGAGGGGAGCCCACTGCCCTGAAGGGTGAGTCCCAGGCCAGGCAGCATTCACCACAAGCTGACTTAAGAACCCTTGGATCTTCAGGGAACATCAACAGTAGTCAGGCAGTACTCCTTGTGGCCTGGGGTGGTGGTGGCTAAAAAGAGAGGCTCCCGTCTTTGGAAAGGGAAGGTTAGAGTGGGAGGAACTGCATCTTGTGGTTTGAGTGGCAGCTCAGCCTCAGTACAACAGAATGCCAAGTAGACTTCTGAGGTTTTAGACTTTAGACCGTTTGTGAACGGTACCTCTCGACCCACCTGGGGCCTGGGGGACCTCCCTGGCCTGAAGGGAAGGACACAGGCCTGGCTGGCTTTGCCGTCGACTGACTGTAGAGCCTAAGGGCCTTGAGTAAACAGGCAGTAGCCAGGGAGTGGTTAGAGCAGACCTTGAGCGAGATCCAGCACTGTGCTGGCCTCAGGTCTTACCCGGCGCAATCATAGTGAGGGTGGCCACAGGGGTGCTTGTGTCACTCCACCCTCATCTTTAGGTGACTCAGAACAAAGACAGAGGCTATGTATCTGGGAGACAGTAAGGGAAGAGAACAAGAGTCTCTACCTGGTAATCCAGAGAATTCTTCCAGATCTTAGACCATCAAGGTGGTACCTATATGAATCTGCAAGAACCACAGCGTTACTGGGCTTTGGGTGCCCCTAAAGCAGATACAGCTTAGATCACAACACCCAAGTTCTTTCACATGTCTGGAAAGCCTTCCCAAGAAGGATGGGTACAAATAAGCCCAAACAGTGAAGACTACAATAAATATCTAACTCTTCCATGCCCAGACACAAAGAACACCTACTAGCATCAACACCATCCAGGAAAACATGACTTCACCAAATGAACTAAATAAGGAACCAGGGACCAATCCTGGAGAAACACACATATGTGACTTTTCAGGCAAAGAGTTCAAAATAGCTGTGTTGAGGAAACTCAAGGAATTCAAGATAATACAGAGAAGGAATTCAGAATTATACCAGCTAAATTTAACAAGGAGATTGAAATAATTAAAAGAAATCAAGCAGAAATTCTGGAGCCAAAAAATGCAACTGGCGGCCAGGCACAGTGGCTCACGCCTGTAATCCCAGCATTTTGGGAGACCGAGGTGGGCAGATTACTTGAGGCCAGGAGTTTGAAACCAGTCTGGCCAGCACGGTGAAACCCCGTCTCCACTAAAAATACAAAAAATTAGCCAGGCATGGTGGTATGTGCCTGTAATCCCAGCTACCTGGGAGGCTGAGGCATGAGAATCGCTTGAATCCGGTAGGCGGAGGTTGCAGTGAGCCAAGATTGCACCACTGTACTCCAGCCTGGGTGATAGAGTGAGACTCCATCTCAAAAAAAAAAAAAAAAAAAATGCAATTGGCATACTGAATACTGCACCAGAGTCCTTTAATAGCAGAATTAGTCAAGCAGAAGAAAAAATTAGTGAGCTTGAAGACAGGCTATTTGAAAATACACAGTCAGAGGAGATAACAGAAAAAAGAATACAAAATGATTAAGCATGGCTACAGGAGCTAGAAAACAGCCTCAAAAGGGAAAATCTAAGAGTTATTGGGCTTAAAGAAGAGGTAGAGAAAGAGACGGGGTAGAAACTTTATTCAAAGGGATATAACAGAGAACTTCCCAAACCTAGAGAAAGATATAAGTATCCAAGTACAAGAAGGTTACAGAACGCCAAGCAAATTTAACCCAAAAAAGACTACCTCAAGGCATTTAATAATTAAACACCAAAAGGTCACAGATAAAGAAAGGATCCTGAAAGCAGCAAGAGGCTGAGGATAGCGGTCACACCTGTAATCCCAGTACTTTGAGGGACCAAGGCAAGGGATCACTTGAGCCCAGTTTTTGTTTTATTTCCAACGTTTATTTTAGCTTCAGGGGTATGTATGCCCAATATGCAGGTTTGTTACATAGGTAAACATTTGCCATGGTGGTTTACTGCACAGTTCATCCCATCACCCAAGTATTGCCCAGAATCCACTAGCTATTCTGCCTAATTCACTCCCTCCTCCCACCCACCATCCTCCAATAGGCCCCAGTGTATGTTGTTTCCCCCTTGTGTCCATGTATTCTTATCATTTAGCTCTCACTTATAAGTGAGAACATGTGGTATGTGTTTTTCCGTTCCTGCATTACTTTGCTAAGGATAATGGCCTCCAGTTCCATCCATGTCCCTGCAAAGGACATGATCTCATTCTTTTTTGTGGCTGCATAGTATACCATGGTGTATATGTACATTTTCTTTATCCAGTCTATCACTGATGGGCACTTAACTGGATTCCATGTCTTTGTTATTGTAAGTAGTGCTGCAATGAACATACATGTGCATGTGTCTTTATAACAGAACGATTCCTATTCCTTACGGTGCATACCCAGTAATAGGATTGCTGTGTCAAATGGTATTTCTGTTTGTAGGTCTTTAAGGAATCACCACACTGTCTTCAATAATGGTTGAACTAATATACACTCCCACCAATAGTGTAAAAGCATTCCTTTTTCTCCACAACCTCACCAGCATGTTATTTTTTGAATTTTTAATAATAGCAATTCTGACTAGCGTGAGATGGTATCTCATTGTGGTTTTGATTTGCATTTCTCTAATCAGTGATGTTGAGCTTTTTTTTTATATGTTTGTTGGCTGCATGTATGTCTTCTTTTGAGAAGTGTCTGTTCATGTCCTTTGCCCGCTTTTTAAAAGAGTTATTCTTTTTTCTTGTAAATTTAAGTTTCTTATAGATGCTGGATATTAGACCTTTGTCAGATGCATAGATTACAGAAATTTTCTCCCATTCTGTAGGCTGTCTGTTTACTCTGTTGAGAGTTTCCTTTGCTGTGCAGAAGCTCTTTAGTTTAATTAGATCTCATTTGTCAATTTTTGCTTTTGTCACGACTGTTTTTGGCATCTTCATCATGAAATCTTTGCCCATGCCTATGTCCCGAATGGTATGACCAGGTTTTCTTTCAGGGTTTTATAGTTTTAAGGTTTACATTTAAGTCTTTAATCTATCTTGATTTTTGTATATGGTATAAGAAAGGAATCCAGTTTCAATTTTCTGCATACAGTTAGCCAGTTCTTCCAGTACCATTTATTTAATAGGAAATCCTTTCTCCACAGTCTGTTTTGGTCAGATTTGTTGAAGATCAGATGATTGTAGGTGTATGGTCTTATTTTTGGTTTCTCTATCTATTCCATTGGTCTTTGTGTCAGTTTTTGTACCAGTACCATGCTGTTTTGGATACTGTAGCCCTGTAGTATAGTTTGAAGTCAGGTACTGTGATGCCTCCAGCTTTGTTCTTTTTGCTTAGAATTGCCTTGGCTATTTATGCTCTTCGTTTGTTCCATAGGAATTTTAAAATACTTTTTTTCTAATTCTGTGAAGAATGTAATGGCAGTTTAATAATAAAAGCATTGAATCTATAAATTGCTTTGGGCAGTATTAGCGTTTTAAAGATACTAATTCTTCCCATCCATGAGCATGGAATGTTTTTCCATCTGTTTATGTCATCTCTGATTTCTCTGGGCAGTGGTTTGTAGTTCTCCTTGAAGAGGTCCTTACTTCCCTTGTTAGCTGTATTCTTAGGTATTTTATTCTTTTTGTGTTAATTATGAATGGAAGTTCACTCATGATTTAGCTCTTGGATCGCCCACTCTTGGTGTATAGGAATGTTGGCAATTTTTGCAAATTAATTCTGTGTCCTGAGACTTTGCTCAAGTTGTTTATCAGCTTAAGAAGCTTTTGGAGCCCAGGAGTTTGAGAACAAGCTGGATAACACAGTGAGACCCCATCTCTACAAAAAATAAATAAAACAAAAGCAGCAAGAGAAAAGAGACAAATAACATACAGTGGAGCTGCAATATATCTGGCAGCAGACTTTTCAGTGGAAAGCTTACAGGCCAGGAGAGAGGGGCATGACATATTTCAAGTGCTGAAGGCAAAAAACTTTTACCATAAAATAGTATATCCAGTGAAAATATCCTTCAAACATGAAGGAGAAACAAAGACATTCCCAGACAAACAAAAGCTGAGGCATTTCATCAACACTAGACCTTTCCTGCAAGAAATGCTAAAGGAAGTACTTCAATCAGAAAGAAAATGATATTAATCAATAATAAGTAATCACCTGAAGGTACAAAACTCACTGTTAATAGTAAATACATAGAAAAACACAGAATATTATAACACTGTAACTATGGTGTGTAAACTACCCCTACCCTAAGTAGAAGAGTAAATGATTAACCAATCAAAAATAGTAACTACAACCACTTTTCAAGGCATAGTCAGTACAATAAGATATAAACAGAAACAACAAAATGATTAAAAGTGGGGGTACAAAGTTAAGGCATAGAGTTCTTATTAGTTTTCTGTTTGCTTGTTTCCTTGCTTATGCAAATAGTGCTGTTATTGTGTTAAAATAATGGGTTATAATATTTGCAAGCCTCATGATAACCTTAAACACAAAAAATAAAAAGCAAAAAACTAAATCAGATGAAATAATCTTCACTAGAGGAAGACAAAAAGGAAGGAAAGAAGGAATAGAAGACCACAAAACAACCAGAAAACAAATAACAAAAGGGCAGGAGTAAGTCCATACTTACCAATAATAACATTGAATGTAAATGGACTAAACTCTCTAATCAAAAGACACAGACTGGCAGAATGGATGAAAAAACAAGACTGATTGATCTGTTGCCTACAAGAAACACACTTTACCTATAAAGACACACATAGGCTAAAAACAAAGGATGGAGAAAGATACTCCACGTCAATGGAAACCAAAACAAAAAAAAACAGGAGTTGCTATACTTATATCAGACACAATGGATTTCCAGAAAAAACTGCAAGAAGACACAAAGAAAGTCACTATATAATGATAATGAGGTCAATTCAGCAAGAGGATATAATAATATTAAATATATATGAACTCAACACTGGAACACATAGATATATAAAGCAAATATTATTAAAGGTAAAGAAAGAGATACACCATAGTACCATAATAGCTAGAGACTTCAACATCCCACATTCAGCACTGGGCAGATCTTCCAGACAGAAAATCAACAAAGAAACATCAGACTTAATCTGCACTATAGACCAAATGGATCTAATAGATATTTACAGAACATTTCATCCAGGAGCTATAAAATACACATTCTTTGGATCATTCTCAATAACTGTCCATATTTAGGTCACAAAACAAGTCATAAAATATTCAAAAATTCTGAAGTAATATCAAGCATATTCTTTGACCACAATGAAATAAAACTAAAAATTAGTAACAGGAATTTTGGAACGTGTACAAATACATAGAAATTAAAAAATATGCTCCTGAATGACCAGTAGGTTAAAGAAAAAATTAAGGAAATGTAAAAATTTCTTGAAACAAATGATAATGGAAACACAACATATCAAAACCTATGTGATACACTAAAAGCAGTATAAAGAGGGAATTTTATAGCTGTAAGTGAATAAATCAAAAAAGAGGAAAAGGCTGGGTACAGTGGCTCATGCCTATAATCCCAGCACTTTGGTAGGCCGAGGCGGGGGGATCACTGGAGACCAGGAGATCGAGATCAGCCTGCCAACATGGTGAAACCCCATCTCTACTAAAAAGTAATACAAAAATTAGCCAGGCATGTACCTGTAGTCCCAGCTACTTGAGAGGCTGAGGCATGAGATACGCCTGTACTCAGGAGGCGGAGGTTGCAGTGAACCAAGATCATGCCACTGCACTCCAGCCTGGGAGATACAGCAAAACTCTTGTCTCAAAAAAAAAAAAAAAAAAGGAAAAGAAAAATAAACTAACAATGAAACTCAACCAAACCCAAAATTGGTAGAAAACAAATAATAAAGAAAAACTAAAGGAAATGGAAAATTCCCATACACATACCACCTACCAAGATTGAACCAAGAAGAAATCAAAAAGCTGAATAGACCAGTAACAAGTAATGAGATTGAAGCTGTAATAACAAGTCTCCCAGTAAAGCAAAGCCTGACACTCAATGGCCTCACTGCTGAATTCTACTAAACATTTAAAGAACTAATACCAACCCTACCCCACCTATTCCAGGAAATAGAGGAGGAGGGAATACTTCCAAACTAATTCTACAAGGCCAATATTTCCGTGATACCAAAACCAGACAAAGACACATCAAAAAAGAAAACTACAGGACAATATCTATGATTAATATTAATGCAAAAATCCTCAAAAAAATACTAGCAAATTGAATTCAACAACACATTAGAAAGATTATCAAAAAAAAAAAAAGAGAGATTATCATGGCCAAGCGGGATTTATCCCTGGGATGCAAGGATGGTTCAACATAGGCAAACCAATCAGTGTAATACATTATATCAACCAAATGAAGAACAAAAAAAAATGATCATTTCAATTGTGCAGAAAAAGCATTTGATAAAATTCAACATCCCTTCGTGCTAAAAACCCTCAAAAACTGGGTATAGAAGGAGCATACCCCAACATGATAAAAAATCATATGACAGACCCATAGCTAGTATCAACTGAATGGAGAAAACTGAAAACCTTTCCTCTAATATCTGGAACATAACAAGGATATCCACTTTCACCACCATTATTTGACATAGTACTGGAATCCTAGCTAGTACAATCAAACAAGAGAATGATATAAACACCATCCAAATTTGGAAGGAAGAAATCAAATTATCCTGTTTGCAGATGATAAGATCTCAATAAAATACTGGTAACCCGAATCCAGCAGCACATCAAAAAGCTTATCCACCATGATCAAGTGGGCTTCATCCCTGGGATGCAGGGCTGGTTCAATATATGCAAATCAATAAATGTAATCCAGCATATAAACAGAACCAAAGACAAAAACCATATGATTTCTCAACAGATGCAGAAAAGGCCTTTGACAAAATTCAACAACCCTTCATGCTAAAAACTCTCAATAAATTAGGTATCAATGGGACGTATCTCTAAATAATAAGAGCTATCCATGACAAACCCATAGCCAATATCATACTGAATGGGCAAAAACTGGAAGCATTCCTTTTGAAAACTGGCACAAGACAGGGATGCCCTCTCTCCCCACTCCTATTCAATATAGTGCTGGAAGTTCTGACCAGGGCAATCAGGCAGGAGAAGGAAATAAAGGGTATTCAATTAGGAAAACAGGAAGTCAAATTGTCCCTGTTTGCAGATGACATGATTGTATATCTAGAAAACTCCATCGTCTCAACCCAAAATCTCCTTAAGCTGATAGGCAACTTCAGCGAAGTCTCAGGATACAAAATCAATGTGCAAAAATCACAAGCATTCTTATACACCAATAACAGACAGAGAGCCAAATCATGAGTGAACTCCCATTCACAATTGCTTCAAAGAGAATAAAATACCTAGGAATCCAACTTACAAGGGACATGAAGGACCTCTTCAAGGAGAACTACAAACCACTGCTCAACGAAATAAAAGAGGATACAAACAAATGGAAGAACATTCCATGCTCATGGGTAGGAAGAATCAATATCTTGAAAATGGCCATACTGCCCAAGGTAATTCATAGATTCAATGCCATCCCCATCAAGCTACCAATGACTTTCTTCACAGAACTGGAAAAAACAACTTTAAAGTTCATATGGAACCAAAAAAGAGCCCACATTGCCAAGTCAATCCTAAGCCAAAAGAACAAAGCTGGAGGCATCACGCTACCTGACTTCAAACTATACTACAAGGCTGTAACCAAAACAGCATGGTACTGGTACCAAAACAGAGATATAGACCAAGGGAACAGAACAGAGCCCTCAGAAATAATGCCGCATATCTACAACTATCTGATCTCTGACAAACTTGACAAAAACAAGAAATAGGGAAAGGAATCCCTATTTAATAAATGGTGCTGGGAAAACTGGCTAGCCATATGTAGGAAGCTGAAACTGGATCCCTTCCTTACACCTTATACAAAAATTAATTCAAGATGGATTAAAGACTTAAATGTTAGACCTAAAACCATAAAAACTCTAGAAGAAAACCTAGGCAATACCATTCAGGACATAGGCATGGGCAAGGACTTCATGTCTAAAACACCAAAACAAATGGCAACAAAAGCCAAAATTGACAAATGGGATCTAATTAAACTAAAGAGCTTCTGCACAGCAAAAGAAACTACCATCAGAGTGAACAGGCAACCTACAAAATGGGAGAAAATTTTCGCAACCTACTCATCTGACAAAGGGCTAATATCCAGAATCTACAATGAACTCAAACAAATTTACAAGAAAAAAACAAACAACCCCATCAACAAGTGGGTGAAGGATATGAACAGATACTTCTCAAAAGAAGACATTAATGCAGCCAAAAGACACATGAAAAAATGCTCATCATCACTGGCTATCAGAGAAATGCAAATCAAAACCACAATGAGATACCATCTCACACCAGTTAGAATGGCAATCATTAAAAAGTCAGGAAACAACAGGTGCTGGAGAGGATGTGGAGAAATAGGAACACTTTTACACTGTTGGTGGGACTGTAAACTAGTTCAACCATTGTGGAAGTCAGTGTGGCGATTCCTCAGGGATCTAGAACTAGAAATTTCATTTGACCCAGCCATCCCATTACTGGGTATATACCCAAAGGATTATAAAACATGCTGCTATAAAGACACATGCACATGTATGTTTATTGTGGCACTATTCACAATAGCAAAGACTTGGAACCAACCCAAATGTCCAACAATGATAGACTGGATTAAGAAAATGTGGCACATATACACCATGGAATACCATGCAGCCATAAAAAATGATGAGTTCATGTCCTTTGTAGGGACATGGATGAAGCTGGAAACCATCATTCTCAGCAAACTATCTCAAGGACAAAAAACCAAACACTTCATGTTCTCACTCTTAGGTGGGAATTGAACAATGAGAACACATGGACACATGAAGGGGAACATCACACACTGGGGCCTGTGGTGGGGTCGGGGGAGGGGGCAGGGATAGCATTAGGAGATAAACCTAATATTAAATGAAGAGTTAATGGGTGCAGCACACCAACATGGCACATTTATACACATACGTAACAAACCTGCACCTTGTGCACATGTACCCTAAAACTTAAAGTATAATAAAAAAAAATCTTATATTTGATCTCCACAAAATAAAAACTATCAGAATAAACAAATTCAGTAAAGTTGCAGGATACAAAATCAACATACAAAAATCAGTAGCATTTCTATATGCCAACAGTGAACAATGTGAAAAAGAAATTAAAAAGTAATCTCATTTACAATAGCCACATGTAAAATTAAGTACTTAGGAATTAACCAAAGAAGTGAAAGATCTCTATAAGAAAAACTATGAAACACTGATAAAAGAAATTGAAGAAGACACTAAAAAATTAAAAAATATTCCATGTTCATGGATTGGAAGAATCAATATTATTAAAATTATTAAATTAAATTATTAAATTAAAATTATTAAAAAGTCCATACTACCCAAAGAATTCTACAGATTCAATGTAAATCCTAACAAAATACCAATGACATTCTTTACAAAAATATAAAAAATCCTAAAATGTATATGAAACCACAAAAGACCCAGAATAGCCAAAGCTGTCCTAAGCAAAAAGAACAAAATTGGAAGAATGACTTTACCTGACTTCAAATTATATTACAGAGCGATAATAACCAAGACAGCATGGTACTGGCATAAAAACAGACACATAGGCCAGTGGAGCAGAAAAAAGAACTTAGAAACAAATCCACACACCTACAGTGAACTCATTTATGACAAAAGTGCCAAAAACATACACTGAGGAAAAGACAGTCTCTTTAATAAATGGTGCTGAGAAAACTGAATATCCATATGCAGAAGAATAAAACTATACCCCTATCTCTTACCATATACAAAAATCAAATCAAAATGGAGTAAATACTTAAATCTAAGACCTCAAACTATAAAAGTACTACAAGAAAATATTGGGGAGAATCTCCAGCACATTGGTCTGGGCAAAAATTCCTTGAAAAATACCCTACAACCACAGGCAGCCAAAGCAAAAATGGACAAATGGGATCACAACAAGTTAAAAGGCTTCTGCAGAGCAAAGTATAGAGTCAACAAAGGGAAGAGACAACCCCCAGAATAGAAGGAAAATATGTGCAAGCTAGCCATCTGACAAGGGATTAATAACCAGAATACATAAGGAGCTCAAATAACTCTATAGAAAAAAAATCTAATAATCCAATCAAAAATGGGCAAAGATTTGAATAGACATTTCTCAAAAGACATACAAATGGCAAACAGGCATATGAAAAGGTCAACATCACTGATCATTAGCGAGATGCAAATCAAAACTACAATGAGATATCATCTTATTCCAGTTAAAATGGTTTATATCCAAAAGACAGGCAATAACAAATGCTGGCAAGGATGTGGAGAAAAGAGAACCCTCATACACTGATGGTGGGCATGTAAATTAGTACAACCACTATGGAGAACAGTTTGGAGGTTCCTTAAAAAACTAAAAATTGATTACCATATGATTCAGAAATCCTACTGCTGGGTATATACCCAAAATAAAGGAAAGTAGTATATCAAAGAGATATCTGCCCTTCTATGTTGGCTGCAGCACTGTTTACAATAGCTAAGATCTGGAAGCAACCTAAATGTCCATCAGTAGATGAAAGAATGAAGAAAATGTAGTACATACACACAATGGAGTATCATGCAGCCATGAAAAAGAATGATATCTAGTCATTTGCAACAACACGGCTGGAACTGGAGGTCATTATGTTAAATGAAATAAGCCAGACACAGAAAGACAAACATTACATGTTCTCATTTTTGGGATTTAAAAATTTTTTTTAAAAATGAACTCATGGACATAGAGAGTAGAATGATGCTTACCAGAGGCTAGGAAGGGTAGTCGGGGGCTGGGGAGGAGGTGGGGATGGTTAATGGGTATAAAAAAAAAATAAAATGAACAAGACCTACTATATGATCTATGTGATAGCACAACAGGGTGACTACAGTCAATAATAACCCCCTACATTTTAAAATAAAGAGTTTAACTGAATTATTTTTAACTCAAAGGATAAATGCTTGAGGGGATGGATACCCCATTCTCCATGATGTGCTTATTTCACACTGCATGCCTATATCAAAACATCTCATGTACCTCATAAATATATGTACCTACTATGTACCCACAAAATTAATAAAATAATAAAAATACTTTTGTATCTACTTATCTATAAAAAAATTTATTTCAATACTTTTCAGGGAGCAGGTAGTTTTTGATTCCATGGAGAAGTTCTTTAGTGGTGATTTAGGAGATTTTGGTGTACCCATCACCTGAGCAGTGTACACTGTGCCCAATGTGTACTCTTTTATCCCAAGCCCTTTTCCCCCTTCTCCCCAAGTCCCCATAGTCCATAATATCATTCTTATGCCTTTGCATCCTCATAGCTTAGCTCCCACTTATAAGTCAGAACACATGATATTTGGTTTTCCATTCCTGAATTACTTCACTTAGAATAACGGTCTCCAACTCCATCCAAGTTGCTGCAAATGCCATTATTTTGTTTCTTTTTACAACTGAGTAGTATTCCATGGTGTATATATGCCACATTTCCTTTACCCATTCATTGGTTGATGGACATTTGGATTAGTTCCATATTTTTGCAACTGCAAATTGTGCTGCTATAAACATGAGTGTGCAAGTGTCTTTTTCACATAATGACTTCTTTTCTTTTGGGTAGATATCCAGTAGTGGGATTGCTGGATTGAATGGTAGCTCTACTTTTAGTTCTTTAAGGAATCTCCATACTGTTTTCCATATTGGTTGTACTAGTTTACATTCCCACCATCAGGGTAAAAGTGTTTCCTTTTCACCACATCCATGCCAACATCTACTATTTTTTATTTTTGAATTATGGCCATTTTTGCAGGAGTAAGGTGGTACCTCATTGTGGTTTTAATTTGCCTTTATAGTTAGTGATGCTGAGCATTTTTTCACGTTTGTTGGCCATTTGTCATACACATGTACTTCTTTGTAAATGGCTGAAGCAATACGTTATACGAAAAGATTAAATAGAGCTTGACTATTTTGCCTCTGGGAGAAAGGCTCATAATGTAACACTATCTCCAACTCTAAACGGAATTTTGATGAGGTCAGAGTTAAAGCAGACATTCTCTTTCCATGGGAGAGTAAACAGAAGGAAATAACAGGGAAGATTCATTTGGCATAAGACCATCTCTTGATCACTATTCCTTACATGGTACACATCACTCTAGATGAGCTGAATTACCAGATTCCTATGGAAATTATCAGATTCCCTAGAATTTCTCCCCCCAGCATGTTAACAGAAAATCAGGAGGTAAGCACATTTTCATTTTATAGAAATGTTGTTCTTGTTTTTGAGTTGTTTGATTAGGTCAGTAAGTCTTTCCAAGGCCCTAAATTAAAGAAATTGTCACAGTCTTTAAGGCAACATGCATGAGCAATTTCAGCGAAGTATTATTCGCATCTTGCAAATAAACTGCATTATTTTAACTACCAAAATGGTATGACTCTTTTTTTCCAAGAATGAGTAACTACCTAGAGAGACTTACCCAAGACATTAAGGCAGCATCTGGTTCTAAACCTTGGGCCTCAACATACCAAATTTAACTCTCTAAAATAAAATATTGGGAACTCCCAATTTCTCTGATAAAGCAAACAAGTGTAGTTCTACATTTTCATTCTAAACCATAAATGCTCTCTATGCATACTCTTTCTGCTGAAAATATTCATATTGTTTTCCCAGATTCTATAAAACCTCATCAGTAACCTTTACAAATAAAAAAGAAGATTAATTATTGAGCTGACTATATCAACGATTTCAGTTTCCCTGTAACGCTGGGAGACTGAAGGAATATTTCTAATATTCATGATTCATGCTCAATAGAGAGAAAGGAATGATGCCCTTCAGAGAAAGCAAGTCACTGGAATGACATCTCTTCACATGATAGCTTTTTGTATACTTACAGTATCAAGGTAAAGCAACTCACTGGTCTATTACATTTTTGCCAGCCTTTCCTGAAAGTATCAGTATGAAATCAAGTGAACAAGAGATGCCTGAAGGAATGTAGTAATCTACTGTAACTGAGATGTAAAATTCTTGAAAAAAATTAAGTAACATTCCAGGTTTAATTCAACAACCAACTACTAGTACCTTCCTATTTTTTTCTCTGTGCAAATTCTTTTTTTTTTTCAATTTCTTAGTAACAACCAGGCAAAATTTGTCAAAATCCCATTTATGTCCAAGACTAGAACTTCTCTAGTAGTTTCTCCTAAAAACCTTCCCCCGTTTCCCTCCCCAGTTCCTCCTCTAGGAAAGCAGCACAGGACTTGAGGTCTTGGAGGAAGCACCACTGGCAATAGTACCTTAGGTAACTTCTCACTTGTCAGGCTTTCTTTACTTACTGTTCCCAAAATAGGTGTGCAGACCACTGATGGGATGAAGAGATGAATTTAAGTGGCTCACAGATACACTTACTTTTACTACAAAAATGTTAGAAAAATAAACAACTAATAAAACCCATGATTTTGTAAATATTATTGGCAAGGAAGAGGGTAAGTAAAATGGTGACTCGATGTAAATTGACTAAAAGAAACAGTACTTCATAGCAAAGTGGTACAAAGCCATACCCAATTCATATAGGGCTATGTAACTGGAGACATTTAGGAAGCTTCTGATGCTACCATTATCTTTGCTCCTCTGTGCCAACCTCATACAGTATCCTCAGTGACACCTACACCTTCTATTGCTTCCTCTCAGCTAGATATTTCTATCAGTAGCTAACCCTACCTACATTTTTCTAATCTTTAAACAAATACACTAACGAAGACCCTCTCTCACTTCCCTTTCAGCTACAGCTCTTTCTCTTTCTACTCCCTGAATTTAGACAGTTAGCTACCACTGCTGGCTGGCTGCATATTCACACCTCCCTCTCATTTCTCAATACACTCAGCTCAGGTTCCCTATCCCCGCCCCCCAACCCCAGTATACAACCTACTGATGATAAACCTAAGGATAACTTCAATCATTATCCCACTTTATCTTTCAGAAGCATTCAACAGAGTTAACCACCAAATTAACTGCCATTTGCCAAGCTATTACGGTTTTCCTTCCTCTTCCCTGGTATGTTTTACTTTGTTTTGTTCTTTTTAGTTTTCTCCACTGGCTCATTTTCCCTAATAAGACTATGAATGCTAGCATTCCTCATGGTCATTCCTCAGGCTCACTGCCCTTCTCATTCCAGTCTCCCTAAGTAACCTCATCCACTCACCCAGCTTCAACTATTGTCCATATGCTGATGATTCCCAAATCCATGTCTCCAGTTCAGGTCTCCTCTCTGAGCTTCTGATTTGTTTATTTAGCCAACTTGGACGTTCTATAGGAATCTCAATGACAACACAACCCAAATGGAACTTATCCACTCTCCCTATGTTTCTATCGTAGATGAAGGAAGAGCATCTACCTTGCTGCCCAAGCCACAGACAATATTCCTTGACTTCTGTCCTGAAATGTGCTCACCCAATCAGTTTCCAAGTCTGCCTCCCCAGTATACAGGTAGACTTCTCACCACCTTACCATCATGTCAATAGGGGCCACTGCCATCCCTTGCCTAATCAACTATCACTGGCCTCAGAACTGGCCCCATCACCACTATCATCTTCATAATACATGAATTTAGCCTCTACATCATCTTACGATCAGGCCCCCAACAGCCTAGCATGTATAACAAGGCCCCACACAGCTGGTTCCCTAGTGCTGTCTCTCAGATTGCATCCTAGCCACATGGAGAACATTCCAGTTCTTCAAAATCTCCAATATTTTCTTGCCTTTGGACCTCTACACATACCTGAGACACTCTCTTCCCCCAATCCTGGGCTCACAGCCACTCCTGTGTTAGGTCTCAGCTTAGACACCACTGTGGACTTCCCTATCACATCACCCACTACCCTTCATTGTAACTCTGTTTAATGTCTGCCCTCCTCTTTCCACTGCACATTCCACGAGCACAGTGACTACACGTGCCTCACTCATCACTGCATTTCCAAGAACTGGCATCATTCTTGGCACAGTGGTTGATACTCAATAAACATTTACTGAACGAGAAATGAATAAACAGCTATTCAGCCACCAAAAGAAAATGAGGTATCTGTAGGCTCTTAAAACAAAACTGTCTGAAACAGTAAAAATACCAACTTCACCTGAGTATAGCAAATATGATTTTGTTTTGCAACTACCTAAAGAACGCTGTACAAATGGCTGTGAGACTCTACCAGTTTTCAGCATCAAGCCAAGACACACTTTGTGTCTGAGCTAACTGAATGGTTTCCTGTCTTACAAACAAACTGTCACCCAACAGTTACCTTGCTAACTTCCTTCAAGGCTCTTTTGCAGACTTCATACTTCGGAGAGTCCTTAGGTGTTTTTTGACAGATAGTCTGTAATGAAATAAAAGTGAACAAAATTTATTGATCTATTTTATTAAGTAAAATAAAACCAATGTCCAGCCATATCCTTTTACTCATAGCAAACAATGCCAAACACGATATTACGGATGAGTATGAGGATAATATTAAAACCCAATTTAAAAACCAGGAAATAATCTTTAAACACAGGATCCAAGTCCATCCAGGGAATGGTTAAGAAAGATAGAATTCAGAGGTGGGTAACCCTGGTTTCAAATCCCAGGTCTGCCCTTACTAGTTATCAAATCTTGAGCAAGTCACTAACTCTATCTTTATAAGCCTCTCTTTCCTCATCTGTAAAACTGGGGTGATGCCAGCTACATCACAAGGTTGTTAGAAGTGTTAATGATAATTTATGTAAAGTTCTTTATTAGTGCCTGGCATAGGGTATGCCCTCAATAAATAAGAGTTACTTTAATTATCACCATTATAATCATTATTATTAGAGGCAATTATATTTATAGATGATACATTTTGAATAAAAAGAACAGCCAGGCACAGTGGCTCATGTCTGTAATCCCAGCACTTTGGAAAGCCAAGGCAGGCAGAATACTTGAGTCCAGGAGCCAGGGCAATATGGAAAAACCCCATCTCTACAAAAATACTAAAAGAAAATTAGCCAGGCATGGTGGTGTGCACCTGTGGTCCCAGCTACTCAGGAGGCTAAGGTGGGAGGGTCACTTGAGCCTGGGAGGTGGAGGTTGCAGCGAGCCGAGATCGCACCATTGCACTCCTGGGTGACAGCATCTCAAAGAAAAAACAGTCAAAAAAAAACCCAAAAAAACCAGCAAAGGAAAAAAAGCCTGCTAGGTTTTCTGTTGATATATTTATACTGAGAAATTTCATTTGTGATAGGAAAATCAGGTCAAACAGGGTCAATTCACGGTAAATTTAATTACATATAACTTTAAAGCTATACACACACATTCAAAGCCCAGGGAACCACTTTAATTACTGAAAGTGTTTATTTTAATGAACAAGCTTAACTGAATTTCCAAATGAGGTAAAATTGAAGAGACACTATTTTAAATACATTTACATTCTGCCTAAATGGCCAGATTTCCACACGAGAAACAGATTAGAGCAACAGGCATCAGGCAGAGGTAGAAAGTAGTTGGCTACTAGCAAGTCACTGGTCCCTTAAATGTACAGAAGCACCAAGCCAAGCCATCTGAAAGTCAGGCATCAAGATTTTTAACTATCTGCTATGTGAGAAACACAGAGTGCACCATCTGTGGAGGTTCTTATATTTTTTGACTATGACTCACTGTAAGAAATACTTTTACACTGCAACCAGCACACATGCACACATAAATGAACCAGGATTTTATGAAACAATATTTAACCACTTTATGAGCAACGTACATATGCTCATAATTCAAAAATCAGTTTTATGGCCCACTAATGGATATGAAAGCAGCATGAAAAATACTGGTTTATGTCCCTGAGAGCAGGCATCCTTAGCTGGATTCCATATATTGATATTTTATGTAAAATTTTGTGCATACACATATTCTCTGGGAAGAAAAGCTATAGCTTTACTCAGAATCTCAAGGGGGGGTCTGTGGCTTAAAAAAAGTTTAAAGCCTACTGAGCAATCATGGCATGAATCTCCAACACTGTATAACATAATGTGTTAGATTTTAGAGTCCCATTCCATACAAGTAATTTTCTCAAATTTAAAGAGGATATAAAAGGCTTGGCCATCACAGCATATATAAAATCTGGAAAACATGTTTAAAATGCATTTTATTTATTTTTGTTCTTTTATTTCAATTCTCAAAGAGGAATAAAATGCATTTTCAGAAGAAGAAAACCCTGAAAATTCAAAAGTCTAATATTACAAGAAATGTTGTATTTACAAGGCATTCACTTCTTGCTTAAAAAAATAGTCATGTTTGAAATAATACTTCCTTATATGGACCAAAGTTTCCTTCTTAAGCAAAAATTCGATTCTGATAACTTAGCCACATTCTATCTTTAAACATGATAAATACTGATCTCAAAAAAAAATCAGAAAGTGAAATGTTCAAAACTGCAAGCTTCCCAATATGTACACAGGGGGGAAGTTCCTGAATTACAGGTGATGGGTGGAGAAGGTGTAAAGGCAGTAGATCGAAGTAAACTTGAGGAGCACAAGGTGCTATGAATCCTGAAATACCTGACAAAACGTCTCCAAAACTGCAGCAGTCAGCTAAATGCTCATGATTCCATGCTTTTACACATTTCAAAATTTCAGCATTTTTAAAGAATGTATTTTAGAATTTACAATGGGATACAGAATGTGAAATTTACTTTGTAACCTTAATCATAATTTTTAATATATATTTTACTTTGTTTTGATTAGTCAAAATCAGGTATGTAAAAAGTTGACCTTATATCAACATTATGATCCAATTTTAAAGTAGGAAAATCGTAACAAAATATTTTCTAATTAGATCAAAAAGACACTCTGTGGTCCACTGCTAGAATGGCACCTGTGTCGAGCCACCCCACTTTTCTCTTTTGCTGCCCCAGCAGCTCCAGTGCAGCCAGTGGCAGGCTCTCCTGCCCATAGCCTACCTGTCTTTCCAGCTGCACGTACTACTAGGCAGACTCTACTCACTTTTCCCAGTCATGTCTTGCCGTGATTCAAAGTCAAAAACACTTGCTTTCCTCATGAATGCTGCCTAACACAAGAAGGAAGCTGGGCTTTCCTCACTCACTTCGCACAATGCATAATACAGGCAGTACTATGCCTTGTCATGCTGAAGAGACTCTCATTCCTGTATGAAATGGAAGGCCCAGGGCACCTTGGAACATTATAGATGAAGGGATCTCAGTGATCAGTCTGAGGAATCTTAGGCCCAAAGAGACTGAGTTGCTCAAGGTCACATGCCTAATGGCTTAGCTAGAATTGGAATCCAGGCCTCCTGACATAAAGAAGCCACAACTCTTCCTATTTCAAAAAATGCTGAGTAAGTGGGTGATGAGATCCAATTTCTTCAGAATGACCATAGAAGCCTAAATGAAAGATAATTTCCAGAGATATCAGATACAGGTGAGACTTTCTGAACAAACAACACCTTCTCACTTAATTGGGGGATTTTTAGACCTTTAAATATGCATCAATTTAAGTGGAATAATAATAATTTTCTAAATCAGATTTAGAGAAGCACAGCTATCCACAGAGGAAAAAGCCACCGTCATGTCTTACATCCATCAGCAGGGGAAGGCGGGTCACCCTCTGCATGGGGAGAATGAGAAAAGAGATCATGGGTAAGTTCCTACAGTCTTCATGGGACTCAATCCTTGACAATACTTCCTTAAAGGATGGATTGGTAGCTCTGAGGGAAAACAAAGAAAAGAGAAACTTCAAAATATTTCCTCCTCAAATTAAGCAGCAAGTAAAAATGTATTACAAAATACTGTGATAAATCCATATAGCATCAACTATTTTAAACTGTATGAAAATATCATAAGCACATAATTACACTGGCAAATACGAATGGCTTGTCTGCCTTTTATATTCAAGGCTGAATATAATAAGATGTGGATTTCACATAACAGTATTAACAATAAGGCAAAACATGTAGGAGCTAGAAATTTATACAAGTGGAAGGTAAGCAAATGAAGAAGCTGTGGTATCATAATGGTGAATATATGGGTCATAAATCAGTATACAGACTAGGTCTTTTATATCCGATCATCTATAAACATATATCATTAATAAGATCATAAATAATATGTTTTAAGCCACTTCTCCAGCCCTAGACAATGGCATAAGAAATTAACAGTTAGACTGGACTTCAGAGGCTTTAGGCCACAAAGATCCTCTTTCTGAGACAGAAAACCTTTTCATCACATCAGTCGAAATATTCCTCTTTTTCTCCTGTTAATGCAAGAAAAGTATTAATGCTGCTATAACATTTTAATGAAACTTAGCGAGATACTGTGACATACATTCTTTCATGTGGAACCACCTACGTAACTTTTAAGGAAGGCCAGATAGGGATTCCAGTAAGAAAATGGAATGCAGAAAGGTCCCTACCTCACCAAGTAAATATGACTTAGTAACTGCCAAAGACAGAAGTCAAACCCAGGTTTGTTTGTTTGTTTGTTTGTTTTGAGATGGAGTCTTGCTCTATCACCTAGGCTGGAGTGCAATGGCACAATCTCGGCTCACTGCAGCCTCTGCCTCCCAGGTTCAAGCAATTCTATGCCTCAGCCTCACAAGTAACTGGGATTACAGGTGTGTGCCATGACGCCCAGCTAATTTTTGTATCTTTAGTAGAGAAAAGGTTTCATGTTGGCCAGGGTAGTCTCGAACTCCTGGCCTCAAGTAATCCACCTGCCTCGGCCTCCCAAAGTGGTGGGATTACAGGCGTGAGCCACTGTGCCTGGCCTCAAACCCAAGTTTTCTAATGTTAAATCTGACACTCTTGTCCCCCCATTTCTCACTCTCTTACCTCACTTCATCCCATGAGGAGCTCTGTAGAGTTCCACTGCCACTTTCCAAGGCAAGGAGGGTAGGAGGTAGATGGATATTGTACTCCCATGAAGGGAGAAGGAAGCAGGATAGTGACAATAGCAGTCATTTTTTTTAAAAAAAATGTTATTTTGAAAATTAAATATTCTTGTTCAAGGCTGCTACTAAAAGCAGGGAGGGGGAGAATGCCAGAATAGCAAATGAAAAGAAATTATACAGAAACAATTCATTTCCATTTTCTCTAATTGAGAAGTTTTAAGTTTCCTTTTACTGATAGTTTTGACAAGATTTTTAGAAAGTTAAAAAAAAAAAACAAAAACCTCTAAATTAGTTGTATATTTAAATAACTCAGGTCCCAGTCCCCTCCCTCACCTTCCAAAGGTTCTGATTAAATAGTCTGGGATGGACTCTGGACAGTGTACATTTGCTCATTTTCAGGCCCCAAGGCATTTCTAACATGCAGCTAGAATTGAAAGCCACTGTTCTAACCTTAAATTCACATAAACTGCGGGCTGGGCGCAGTGGCTTACGCGTGTAATCCCAGCACTTTGGGAGGCAGAGACAGGTGGATCACGAGGTCAGGAGATCAAGACCATCCTGGCTAATACGGTGAAACCCAGTCTCTACTAAAAATACAAAAAATTAACTGGGTGTGGTGGCATGCACTTGTAGTCCCAGCTACACGGGAGGCTGAGGCAGGAGAATCGCTTGAACCTGGGATGCAGAAGTTGCAGTGACCCAAGATTGCGCCACTGCACTCCAGCCTGGGTGACAGAGTGAGACTCCATCTCAAAAAAAAAAAAAAAAAAAAATCACATCAACTGCAACAAATCCCCTGAAAACACTACTAATTGCCACGTGAAAGTGCTGATGATGTTATCATTAAGCTAATTTAGATAAAACCTTTAAGAGTCACATGATGTATAGCAGTACCTAGTGACATTTTATAAATCCTGCAAAACAAAATGAAACCCAAATTTATCTCTAATTCAAGGCTTTGTTTTCAGACATGAACTTGCATTCTCTAACAGTTACAGAGAACCTCTGTTCCTATAGCAGCGGTTCCCACCAGGGCGTGGTGGAGTGAGGAAGTGATGGGTGTGGTTTTACCCTCAGGGGACCTTCTGCAATGTCTGGGGAGATTTTTGGCATCTAGCAGATGGAAGCCAGGGATGCCCTTAAGCATCTTAAAATGCATAGGACAGCCCACCACAAAGACTTATCCAGTCCAAAATGTCAATTGTGCGAACAAACCCTGCTTTATACTAAAAATCTCATTGGGGTTAGCAGCTGTGTGTTTTCCACCCTGGCTATATGAAAATGTCATGAAGATGTGGAGGAAAAAGGGGGCCATCATCAGCCCTTCTCATCAGCTTAGAGGCTTTGACTATTTCTCCAAGCAGCCATAAGTTAGTCATCCTCAACCCCTACTCCTCCATAGGGGTCTCACATATTGCACAGAAGTTGACCGAAGCTCCATGCCGTGGTCATAAATGCCACAACTCACAGGAGGGGGTGAGAACGATAACAGCCATTAAGCTCCCAAACTGGGTTTACAGCAGTGCACAACTGTGCTGTAAAACAGCTACTTGTGATAAACAGGACTCTTTAAAATACATATAGGCATTACTGAACAATTGGTGACTCTTTTAAGGACACAGATGGCATATGCATCACATCAAAACTCTCAGTAACCTAAAAAGGACAAAAAGAAAAGATGTGGCAGGAAATCTAATGCTTAACTCTTTTGCTGCATAACTGAAATCTTTAAGAACATTACTTTTTTCTACTGCTTTCCTTCAGAACTTCCCTCCTCTCTTCAACTCTAACTACCCAAGTGGGGGGAATAATCAGCAATTTTTATGAACAATTTATTATCGTTGTCAATTGAATGGAGGGAGATCAGAATAGTAGAGAAAACTCTGAATCTTAGCTTTTAGCTCAATCTACTCAAGAATCCCCTCTAAGCCTCAGGAAAACCACTTAATTGCCAGTAAAAAGCTTAGAAAACTGCGGGTTTAGAGTGAGGACCACCTCTGTTTCCTGCAACAATTAAAAACAACGAAACACTAAACAAGGACATCAATAACAAGCTATAATTTCGTAAGAGAGAAAATTCTCTACACACTAGATTTTTCTACTTAAACACCCTCACCCTAAAAGTAATGCTCTTAAACATTTCTCCTCTGGGAAATAGCCTATCAGGAGGCATTTCTAAATATAATTCAAAAGATCAATTAATTTCAGTCAATGTAGCCTAATTAAAACTAGGTTAGATGATTAAAACTGTAGCATTCGACATTGCTTACAACAATTTTTGTAGTGTTCGTTGTTGGTAGACTTCATTTGTGCAGTATTTCACATATGGGTCAAATGTGGATGCTGTGTGTTTTTCCACAATGTCACTTATGTCATCTATGAAGATATTATTCTGATGTCTTGCTTCCAACTCTATAAAGAACCTGAAAAACCAAAGGGAAAAAAAAATTAACACTTCTTTCATACACTCTAACAGATAACAGATTAGCCTCATGTAATGTTATTACACGGGGTTTGAAAATTCAACAGTACACAGTACCAACTAAAAAATATTTTTAAAATCTATAAAAATTTTATCTAAGTTTAAATCTATCATATTAACACCTCCTTGAGGATGAGCATTGTGGCTCACGCCTATAATCTCAGCACTTTGGGAGGCTGAGGCAGGAAGATCACTTGAGGCCAGGAGTTCAAGACAAGACAAAACCAAAAAAAAAAAAAAAAAAAATCAAGTTATTGCTTCAAGTGTTTGGCTTCAAACATTGATCTGCTCTGCCTTCAGGTACTTTAGACTAAACATATTTCATTATTTTTCAAGAATTCTTTATGGGAAGGGGAGTGAATGCTTATATATTTTATTGTATGGAAAAATACATGAGCAAAACACCTAAATAAATGCTTAAAAAATAAGTCTGAGGCCAGGAGGTGTGGTGGCTCACATGTGTAATCCCAGCACTCTGGGAGGCCGAAGCGGGTGGATTATGAGTTGAAGGGATCGAGACCATCCTGGCCAACATGGTGAAACGCCGTCTCTCCTAAAAATACAAAAATTAGACAGGTGTGGTGGCACGCAGCTGTAGTCCCATCTACTCAGGAGGCTGAGGCAAGAGAATCGCTTGAACCCAGGAGGCGGAGGTTGCAGTGAGCCGAGATCACGCCACTGGACTCCAGCCTGGCGACAGAGACTCCGTCTCAAAAAAAAAAAAAAAAAAAAAAAAAAAAAGTCTGAAATAAATCTAACAGTATATGTTTTTTTCTCAAAATAAAAACAATCACATTATTTTAAATCTGATAATATACATGATATTTAAATCCCTCCCTCCCTTTCCCTCTTTCTTTCTTTCTTCTGAGAAAGGGCCTCACTCTGTCACCCAGGCTGGAGTGCACTGGCATTATCTCACCTCACTGCAACTTCTGCCTCCCGGGATCAAGTGATTCTCCTGCCTCAGCCTCCTGAGTAGCTGGGATTACAGGCATGTGCCACCATGCCTGGCTAATTTTTATGTTTTTTAGTAGAGACGGGGTTTCACCATATCGGCCAGGCTGGTCTCTAACTCCTGACCTCAACTGATCTACCCACCTTGGCTTCCCGAAGTGTTGGGATTACAGGTGTGAGCCACTGCACCCGGCCAGGGTTACCAGATTTAGTGTATAAATAGATAGCAATTTAGGGTCACCTAAATAGATATACACATACAAGTGTATATATCTATAATACACATATGATATATATCATTATATATGTCATATAGATAGCAATTGTTTATCCATTCATCTGCTGATGGAGACTTGAGTAGTTTCCAGTTTTTGGCTACCTGGAATAATGCTGCTATGAACATCTGCATACGAATATCTATTCTTGTGTCTGTTTTCAAGTCTCTGGGGTATATTCCTATCAGTGGAATTTTAACCACACTGACTGTACAATAGTATGTGTATAGGGGTGTGTGTGTGTGTGTGTGTGTGTGTGTGTGTGTGTGTCTAAGTGTGTGTAGAGAAACGGTAGCATAATACTTGAACCAAAACAGAAGAAGCTGAATTATATGCCAAGGAGAGGTTAGCTCATTAAACAAAATTTAGTAAGAAATGATCCTTTCCCTCCCAACACTCACAGTGGAGCGGTTGATGGGAGGCATGCAGCCAATTACAATACAGGATCTATAACACAGGTGTGGTAATAATAAGTATTTGGTCTTCATCCCTGGTCCTTGGAACACAGCTCCTTGAAATACCTGGAATCTCCAGTGACAGGAGTGTCTTTTGTATGCCAGTGAGATGACTGGTAGCTGGGGACCCTTAGATAGCTTCAGCATGGCTCTCAGCATGCCAGAAAGACCAAGGCATGATTGCAGAGCTGGAACTTTCAGCCATGCCTGCCTATCTCCAGTCATAAGAAGAGAAGAGTTTGAGTTCAATTGCCAAGGAACAATGATTTAATCAATAGTGCCTATGTAATGGAGCCTCCACAATAACCCTTAACTGATGGGGTTAGGGAGGGTTGATGAACACCTTGAGGTGCTGGGAGAGTAGCAGGCCCTGAGAGGGACTAGGTGGTCTGCAGTACCTGCACCCCCTCCAGCCTTGCCCTGTAACAATCCTTGTATTTGGCTGTTCTTGAGTCGTACCCTATATAATAAAGCAGAAATTGTAGAGTACCTTCCTGAGTTCTGTGAGCCATTTTAGCAAATCATCAGGGCCTGAAATAGGGGTGGATTGTGGAAATCCCCCCACAACTTTGTAGCCAAGTAGAAGAGAAGTGTGGGTAACCTGGGGACCCAATACTTGCATCTGCCGTCTTAAATGAGGGCAGTTTTGTGGGCTGAAACCTTAAACCTGTGGAGTGTGATGCAAACTCAGGGTGGTTAATGTAGGAACTTAAATTGTAGGACCGGAACTGTAGGACACACAATTGGTGTCTCAAGGGTTAGAGAGTCAGTTGGTATAAAAAAAAAATTCACACATTTGGTGTCAGAAGTATGGTGAGTAAAAAACCAAAGAGGCCTACAAAGAAAACTCCAGAGGGCAGAGTGACCACTCTCGTGGTAAACACAGGTAAGGACACGTGTAAGCTGGATTATCAGTGCGAAGGATGACATGACGGGAGCAGGGGAGCAAAGCACAATGGGCAGTGGAAGCAACGTGGGTCTGGTTGGGGAAACTGGGAAGTTCAGTGGAGCTGAGGTACAGACTCCACTCCAGGAGGAACAAGGGCACAGAAAGAAGACTGCAGAGCAGGGCTGAGCTTGATTGCAAAGGTTATACTGCATGCTGGGAAGTTTACAATTAATCTGTAGACAATAAGAAACCACTGGAGGTGTGGAAGCCAATAAATCACTCAATCCGAGAAAACTGGAGCAGAGCAAGGATGGATTACTAGTAGGGAGGAACAGATGGCAAGCAGGCCGGTTAGGTGGCTAATCTGGGCAAGCTGACAATAAAGCCTGGTAGTGGGAAATCAAGAGGACCCAGCATAGGGTAACAATCTGGAGATAAAATTAATAGACTCAAGAAACGCATTAGATGGGAAGTCAAGGAAGATGCTGAGATTTCTGGTCAAGGTTTCCACCCGGTCAATAAAGTGGGTTCTTAAACCATTAATGAAGACAGAGATTTAGGAACAGGGAGAAGCAGCAGGAAGAGCTCCATTTAATTTTGCCTTGGAGATGTCTAATGGACAGCTAAAAATACACATCTGTGAAAATTCAGAGGAACTGGAATTCTAGGTACTATATAGTTAAGACTATTTGATTTCTAGCTGTTTTTCATAGAAATGTGAAATATTTGTCATTTAACTCCAACTGTTTTGTAATGCAAATGTAAAGAAAATTGTTTAAAGAAAATTGAAAGGCCGGGCACGGTGGCTCACGCCTGTAATCCCAGCACTTTGGGAGGCCGAGGTAGGTGGATCACAAGGTCAGGAGATCGAGACCATCCTGGCTAACACAGTGAAACCTCATCTCTACTTAAAATACAAAAAATTAGCCGGGGGTGGTGGCAGACGCCTGTAGTCCCAGCTACTCGGGAGGCTGCGGCAGGAGAATGGCGTGAACCCAGGAGGTGGAGCTTGCAGTGAGCCGAGATTGCGCCACTGCACTCTAGCCTGGGCGACAGAGCGAGACTCCGTCTCAAAAAAAAAAAAAGAAAGAAAATTGAAAAAAGAAGAAACCATAAGGCCGTTATAATTCTAGGATATAAATATCTTGAGGCAAGTATCTCTTACAATTTGTCTTTAGCTTACACTGTTACCAGCCTGAAGGAATGCAACTATATAACCAAAAACAACAGTAACTTGGCTTTTCCCAATGAAAAGGAAAATTTCATTTATCACTGTGAAAGGTTTGCCAAAGTACGATATTAAAAATAAGGTACTAATTAAATTTCTGTTTATGCTACTTACTTCAATATAAACCAAACCACCCACCTTTTATTTTTACATTGACATAATTAAGACATAATTTAAAGCTTTCTATGTTAAATGATCTATTAGTTATTTTGGAAAATTTGCATACTTTACTAAGTGAGTTAGCTACAAAAAGATCAAGAAAGTATTTCTAAAAAATGAGGTATGATTTCGGGAACCAAGAATGCCGGTGAATCAAATCAAATCTGAAGCAAAAGTAAAAGTATTCTGGTTCCCTGGATGAAACTTGAATGAAATAATTTGGCTTACGAGGAGGACAACTTTTTAATGGAAATACGTATTTAAGTTCTATGAATTTTTTTCGGGGATAATACTTCCACTTATTTCCTCTTTGTAGTATTACCAAGATGTTCATGTTTTATAACCAATCATGTTACACAACCTTTATCTTTTTTTTCCCTGTAAAGCATTTCCAATCTCACCACTAAAGAGAAACCTTCTGTGGACCAGGAAAAGCTGCCTAGAAACATTCCCTCCTAACCAGAAACACAAGTTAGCCCTGTTTGGCTGTTAACTCACCATCACAAGCAAAATCACACCCATACTTCAAATGAGTGCTTTAAATGATTGTAGTCTGCCAAGGTGAGCTCCTCAGCTGTGCAGATAATGGTCCTACCAAACATATAAGGTCCACCTCCCAGGAGGTTCAAGATGATTCAGCTAAAACCCATGTTTGAAAAAAGAGCCTGATGTGGAGCTTGCTTATGGTCTAGTAACCTTTCTTCTAACGTTTTTTAAAACTGCAGGGATTTTTTTTAGGTCTTTTGTGGTTGCTTTATTATGTGATGATCTTAAATGTGGCACTACATTTTTGAGGAAAAAACAAAACCAACAGCAAGCCTGCTTTATGAGATGGTCATTATACCCATTTTATAGATAAGAAAACCAAGGCAAAGAGTGCTTAAGTCACAACTTCATTTGAAACCAGAGCCAGACCCTGTGCTTGAACCAAAACACCTGCTGCCTCAGCTCTCAGCGGTGAGCTGATCTTGCCCACCTGTTACTACTGGCCAACCCTCAACTAAGACATCCAGCAAGAAGAGTAGCAGCTGGAACTGCAAAGAAAAAGATCATTTTCCAAGATTAATGTTGAATGGTCTCAGCAAATAAATTACACAAATCAACGTAGTGCAGATGTTCACAGTAAGATCCACGCCATGACAAAATGTGCAGACAACAGAAGGGTCAGCAACCATATCAGGTTCAGCCTCCAAGAAAGATAATCAGGAAAATCACAGCCAGCAATGTGCTCTGGTCCTGGTTGACACAGTGTGATCAAATATTGGTTTACAGGTGCCCTGTGAAGCCCTCTGGGGGTTATTCATTTTGGCCCTCCTATTCTCGCTCCCCTTTTTCCCTCATGAATCCCACTCATCCTTCATGCATCAGATTAAATTTCATCTATTCCAGGAAGCTTTCCCTGAACCTGCTGGGATAGGCTAAGTTCTCTTGTTCTATGACTTCATAAATCCCCATATATTTTCTTCAGTGTACCTACTATGATGGCAATTAATTCTTTTATAATTTTTGTTTACTTTTGTCTCTCTTAGCAAGGTTTAGAGGATAGGGCCATGTCTGTTGTGTTCACTACTATATTTATATATATATATAGTGTGTGTGTATATATATATTGTGTGTGTATATATACACACACACACACCCAACCACCCACCCACCCAGACTTGGCCATAGTACCTGGAATATAGGAGACAGTCAAATATTTGATCAGTGAATACATAAACAAATGAAATTTATTGTTTTAAATAAAAAATGATAAAGGTGAAACATGTAAAAGAATTTCGTTCTATTATTATTTTACTAAGAAAGTAATGCCCACAAATTGGGTCAGTCTCTACCTTGCTTTTATCACTGATAAGTCAACATATATTTAATTGACCACAAGTTGGCTTCCCAGAACTGTGCTAGGTACAGGAAGGGCCACCAATGAAGACACAAACTCCCAGCACAAGTCTTTACAATTCTTCAATTAGGATTACTAAAGAGAGACCCAGTCCAATCTGAGTTTCTTCAATGCCAGCTGCATTTTCTGAAAAACCTGCCAGACCAGCCCCTCCCCTATCCAATTCAGAAGGATGACAGAGAGACTAAGCAGCGCAGCACTCAGCACTCTAGCTCTGGAAACACAGAAAAAAAGGAGCTCTGGTTATAATCAATGCCGCTGTCCGGTGCCCTCCTCAGAATGGCATCCTTTCAAGGTACTTTTTCTTCATTAATATCCATCTGCCTAAAGCAAACTGAAATCATTCTTGGACGTCTCCCTCACTTAAATGAGCTGTCAATCTAAATGGCTGCAGTATCCTACCAGAGAAGGTCATATTCACTTAGGCTGGAGACTTGTAACATACCAGGCAGATTTCACATGTCTAAGTTGTTGTTATATAATAAAATATCTTCCCTAAACAAAGAAATATTCCAGATAAGTGGCAGCGAAGTATGTGCTGCTGGAAATACTTTCCTAATACAGAACATTCTGTACTCTACCAAAATGAATTTATATTCTGCTGCCGGTAAGTAAGATTTGGGGCTGCTTTATTTGGAATTTTTTTGGTGGTCACATTGACACTGAAGGTTGAAGTCAGTTTCTTTTGACATACTGGATCAGGGAGAATAAAAGCATGGCAAGCGCACCGCCACTAACCCATGGCAGGCATCAGTAACTGTCTGGCACTCTGCCTACATGCAGAGTTTGCACTCCAGGCAGCCATTAACAATACATCAAAATCAGTGCTGAGGAAGATGAAGCTCATCGATGAATCCTTCACCAGAGACTAACAGTGATAGGAAATGTGTTGATTCGACACAAATATAGGACAGTTGCTTCTCAATCAGAAAATATCCTACCTACATCCTGATCTGGTAAAGGTCTCAAGAGACTTCCTTTTCAGCAGACTATATGTCTTCTCACATTCTATTTTAGCCTTTTCTTCTGAAATTTTATCTCTGGATGGATAATAAGAGGATAAGAAATTAAAAGTGGTTTGGGATGTGAGGGGAAAAAAGAGTTCTAAACAAAAATGCTCTGGTAGTTCTCATTCCCATTCTGATAGCTACTGTTTGGTCCTTAAAATCTCTAGGATAATTTTTGTTAAACAATTCTTATCATCCTGTTAAACCTTTGAGATCAGCCTGGATATATGGCAGAGACTGAGGTATTTTCTAAGGGTATATAAGCTAAGGGTATTTTCTGGTCTTTGAATCAAAGGGTTTTCTTAGCCTTAATACCACACAACACAGAGCCTGCTTAGATTTAAATCCAGCTCTGCACAGACACCTTCAGTTCAAGGCACCTGGCAAATCCCAAAAAAGGAGAGGGGTACTGGGGGCCAGGGGAGGGAGAGGCAAAGAGAGACTACAAAACCAAGTGTCCCTCAACTCTTCCGTATCAGTTAAGGCTCCAACTTACTTAGCCCTTCCTCTTATTGATAATGTATTTGCTAGAAGGAATATATACAAGACCATACAAATATAGGAAAACAGTATAAAAAAGACCTTGAAATTCTAATACTATTAAGACTGAGTTTTTGCCTAAAAATGACCATTTAAAGTATTTATCATCTGAACTTGCCTCACAGAAACAAAGTGGAGAAAAAGGAACTTGTTTCCATGGTAACCTGCACGCTTGATTCTTTTGTTTCAGTGCTACTCAAATGCATTCACCCATATTTTAATTTGTCCCAGAAATGAGGATAACACTCCTCAGAAATAGGGATAATGAATGACAGAAAACATATGCCAGCACTCTTATCATAACATCCTTAGAAGAGAAAACGGTCTGTGAATGCTTGGGCCTGAGATGCTCTGGGTTATTACAGAGAGCTTTTCAATTTATAATTACGTTTTTAAAATGTGGATATAACTATTAATTTCCATCTAATGAAAACTGACCCCTAATTTTATATATGATCATGAAGACACAGACAAGTATGCCTGTTCACCCCGGGATCTCCAGTGCCTAACAAAGAGTAAACACTCAACAGATGTGCTGAATGAATCAATACTAGGTACCTATTATTCTTCCTTGCCCCACTATTAAAGTGCATTCTTCCAAGAAGAATGAGAAAAAATACAAAGCAAGTGTCTACCAGGCATGATTTAATAACCACATTAATTATCACTTCTGATGGGGGTGAGCTCTGCTGAGAGGCCGGCTTTCCCAGCTGTCAGAATCAGGTTGGCAAATATAACGTGTGGAAGTTTATACTCCTTACACAGCAGCCTCCATGCCAGGCTTGTATCTTCAAGAACAGTTTTGCTAATCCATTGCCTGGCAAAAATTCTTGAAAACTCAACCCTAGGAAAGGTTTCTAACTTCTAAGGAACATTTGCTTTTAGGATACGATTGCTATAAAACCAATTATGTGACCTTTCCATTTTGGCTGCTCAGAAGGGAAGTGCTGTTTAATCCTCACTCATAGTACCTCTTACAGAAGTGGCTAGGCATGCTTGCTCTCTTCAACCCTGCCTTGTTTGCCTTGTTTTGTTTCCCACTTAAACAGTCTCATTGAGTACATGTATTTTATTGTAAGTTTCCTTGAGCCTTTTATGGATGCAGTTGGGGTATAAATAATAAATTATAAACAAACTGGGAGAATGTGGATTCTTAGTTGCTGCTTGGAAACTGCACCAAGAATGAATTTACAGAATACTGGAATGAAGTCAAGTAAAACAAAAAAGCTTTTGCATGCCAAAGCCCCCTTTCCTATTGTGGACTGGTCATTCTGGGATAAAAATCAGTACAGGAAAGAACGCATTTCTCTTTGGGCACTATTTCCAATTCTTTTTCAGGGAGCACCCATGATAATTCAAATCCAAATTCAGCCAATGGTAAAAATAACATTTAAAGTGAGCCCCAAATCCTTGTATCTCAGGCTTTATTAAATATGCCCCCCGAAAGCTGTCTTCCAAAAAAAAAAAAAGAAATGCTTTCTGTGGCTTCCATCAGTTTCATTAAAACAAAACAAACACACAAAAAAATGGAACCAGGGCACAGAATTTTGAAAAACTCTAGAGGTCAATTTCCTAAGCCATAATATCCTAAGGAAAATGATGCTTGTCTATGTGAGGGAAATAGGATTTCACTTCCTTTCTGATATTTTCCAATCCTGCTCCAGCTCATATGAAGCAGCTGATTCCAGTTTACCCCTTTCACAAAACCCTCCCCTTCAACTTTAATCAAAGGCTTTAAAATACTTTCTTTTTAAATATTATTAGCATGGATTAGCAAAGCATCAGAAGAATAAGAAGTATGGGGTAAATAAGTCCTTGCCCTGATTTTAAGTAGATTTGGAAATGATAAATTTCCATTTATTCATCTATTGAAACAAAACAAACGAGTGGAGAACACAGGGCCAACCTTCAGTCCTGCTACAGACAATAATCAGCCCAAGAAAGACCACTGGCAACCAAGAGAAAAAGGAAGCATGCCAGGAAGAAAAGGTCTTGTAAATCAAAGATAGAATAAAACAATGAAAAGAGGGAAAGTGTGCTTATTAGGTTTCCAAATCACCTCCTCGACACCAAAGACCAGACTTTCCACCCTCTTTTTCCCAATCTTTATGTTTTCATTTTCCTTCGATATTGGTGAGATGGGATCTGTTACCTCATGAGTAAACTCTATAATATCTGTAAGTGAATACACTTCCAGACAAAGTCCATTTCACAGATTGCCACACTGTACATACTGTAGCACTAGCAAGGCTAATCATGTACCATGCACATCACCTCTTTGGGAAATGTTAGCAGGGTACTGGTTACAAATGCAAGCTCTGGAGCCAAACCACCTGGATTCAAACCCCAGCTCCCTCTTTTATTAGCCATATACCCTTAGGCAATTTTATGTCCCCATATCATGCCTTTATTTCCTTATTTGCAAAATGGGAATCTAATGGTATGATCTCATTAGGTTCTCATGCTGACTAAATGAGCTAAAACATGTTAAGTGCTTAGAACATGATCTGGCACATGGTACACGCTCATTAACATTAATTGTCATTTAAAGTGCAATAAAATGCCTTTTCCTCCTATATGAATTCATAGAATTCACAAGTCTTTTAAATAATGCCAGCAGGCTTTCTTCATTTTCTAGTTCATGCAGTTCAAGGACAGCAAGCCTCATTCTATACTGTATTTCCATTAAGTCTGGGTGGGCAGGTGTAACATAATCCTGCCATACACCAGATCTGCTCAGAATCACAGGTAAACACTTTCTCATCAACTTTTTAAAAATGTAGTAGGTACTTACCAATGACAAAATTAGAGGAGGATGCAGCACAGACCTTTTTAAGTCCTTTGTGTTGGTACCTCCCCAGTGAGTTACATGTGGGAGAGAAATGAACCAGGGAAAACTAACAGTTCTCAGCAACTGAGAAGTGGTGGAACATTTCTTTACATGCAAACACTGTCCTTGGCCTTAGCGTAATCATTGTGAGGAAGAAGTCATGTCACAATTAAGAAGCCCTGAGCAAGGAACAGACACACTTGGCAAAAACACAAAGGGCGCCATGTTTATTTTTAGAGCCCCCTGTGGCAGGCTAAATGATGGCCATGTACATGTCCATTATTAATGTCCATCATCTCAAAAATGTCCATGTCCTGTGAATATGTTATCTTACATGGTAAAAGTGATTTTATAGAAGTAATTAATGATACTGAGATGGGAAAATCATCCTGGATTATCCAGGTGGGCTTAAAGTAATCACAGAGGTCCTTATAAGAGAGGGAGGCAGGAGGATAAGAGTCAGAAGAGAAGTAGAAATCAGAGAAGATGGTACACAGTAGGCTTTGAAGACAGAAAAATTCATAAGCCACGATACAAAAGTGACTTCTAGAAGCTGAAAAAGGCAAGAAAACGGATTCTCCCCTACAGCCTCCAGAAGGAAACAGCCTAGTGACACCATGACTTTAGCCCAGTGAAATTGATTTCAGACTTCCCACCTTCAGAATTGAAAAAGAATAAATTTGTGTTGTTTTAAACCACTAAGTTTGTTGTAATTTGTTATAGCAGCAATAGAAAACTAATACATCCTCTTAATCTGTCTTAGAAACTCTCTTCTAACCTCTTGTTCCATTCCCAGTAACCAACATCCAGTATCTGCATACGGGTCCCTTGTAACTCATGGGCCCTACTATATATAGCTTCATCCATCCCAGAAAGCTGATGGTTCCAGATTCAATTCCCTTCCCTACCCATTCTTTCAGTGACTACTTAGTGAATGCCTACTATGTGCCAGGCTCTATTCTAGACACATAAAATACACAGCCCAGGACAATTCCAACAAAAGTCTCTGTCTTCATGGCACTCACCATCTAGTTCTCAGAGAGGCTAGCCCTCCCTGTTCAATTCCCTCAAGGCCCTGCTGCAGGACTGCACACACAACTGTGGAGCAGCAATGGTGGAAAAAGGAGCCAAACCACCTTCCTTTCCAGCAGATTCTCTGAAAGATACTCTAAAAAGCAAGAAAGCTTCTCATTAGGCAATCAGCAGGAAGGAGAAAAGGGAGAAGAGAGGTGAGAGAGTAGTTTGAACAAAGAACACTCAGATTGTGCCCAGCCAATGTGTTGGTGAACTTCATGGTTTGCTAATGGTGCCAGAGCAATCACAAACTCTCTGAACTTGCATGCCAGGTTTGTTGTTGTCAGTACAATTATACATGCATATTTTTTTTTGAGGAAGCAAGAAACGTATGGCTATTGGATGATTTTCAAAGGGGTCCATAACTAAAAGGAAGTTCAATAATCACTGACTTGTATAATGAAACATCTAGTGCTTGTATAATGAAACATCTACGCAAGAACTTGGAAATTACTATTAAATGAAATTATAAACATAGCCTGGGCCTAGACCATGTAGAACTCGAAATGCCCTATTAGAGAGTTTCAATTTGTTTCAAAGTAACAAGAGAACCACTAGGGTTTCTGGTATTTTAGGAAAGTAACCCTGGAGGGAGCAGGGTGAAGGGCAGGGTGTAGGGCTGGAAAAAGCTGAACTGAGGTGCAAAGGTGGTAAAGAGGCCAGCTGCAAGTCTACACATATCCACTTAAGAAGAGGCCGGCAGTTCTTCAAAATGTTAAACATAGTTTCCATATGACCCTTCAATTCCACTCCTAAGTATATACCCGAGGGAAATAAAAATCGAAAGCACAAAAACTTCAACACAAATGTTCATAGCAGCATAATTTAAAATAAAAAAGAACCCAATATCCATCAATTAATGAATGGATAAATAAAATGTGATATATTCACACAATAACATATTATTCAGCAATGAAAGGTACTTACTTACACATTACAATATGGATAAACCTTGAAAACTTTATGCTAGGTAAAAGAAAGCAGTCATCAAAGACCACATTTTATATTTTCTATTCATATGAAATCTCCAGAACAGTCAAATCTATAGAAACAGAAAGTAGACTGGTGGCAGCCTAGAGCTGGGGAAGTGTGGGGGGAAATGTGGAGTGAGCGCTAATGGGTAGGGCATTTCTTTTTGAGGTGATGAAATCGTAAAACTCTGGTGATGGTTGCACAATCTATGACTATACTAAAAATCACTAAATTATACAATTTTAATGGGTTATTTGTATGGCATATGAATTGTGATCTCAATAAAGCTTTTATTTTTATTTATTTATTTATTGTTTTTTAAGATGGAGTCTCACTCTATCAACCAGGCTGGAGTGCAGTGGCATGGTCTCAGCTCACTGCAACCTCCACCTCCCGGGTTCAAGCGATTCTCTTGCCTCAGCCTCCCGAGTAGCTGGGATTACAGGCGCCCACCACCATGCCAGGCTAATTTTTGTATTCTTAGGAGAGACAGGGGTTCACCAGGTTGGCCAGGCTGGTCTCGAACTCCACATCTCGTGATCTGCCTGCCTCGGCCTCCCAAAGTGCTGGGATTGTTACAGGTGTGAGCCACTGTACCTGGCCAATAAAGCCCTTTTAATAAGTGCAGCAGCTAGAGAAATGGATGGAGGGCCGGGGCTTGTATCAGCTAGTTTTGTTCACATACAGAATGCTCTCTTTTCCTGCTTCCCCAGATAGTGGATTTTGTATGTGTTTCATCCCTTTTCAAGTGAATCTTATGAAAAGTCCCAAGACTTCCACAATAAAAGAGAGCTGTTCTGCTTGTAGCAGGGTCAGGAGGCCCAGGGCCCAGTTATTTGCTTCCCTGACACCCAAATTGGCAGACCCTAAAGTGCCTTCAGGGAATTCCAGGCCTGATGGAACACAATCCGAAACCACTCTATAGATCCAAATGGCTGAGAGATGTGGAATGTTAAGCATCTTTGTATTTGTAGGGTCAGTGAGAGGGAATTCAGCCAACATGTCCCCCACCCCAGTCACACCAGGGAATTAGAGACAGTTATGTCCACACTAAAGCCAGTCCTGCACAGCCTTTAACACATCACAACTCTTATCCTTCTGCCTAATCACCATGCAAGGTACCCTGGTAAGAGGAAATAATGGTTTCACTTGTAGGAAGCTAAGGAAAGTTTGCTTTTATACCCTCTTACAAGGCTTTCGGAGAGGTCCAATGCATGTGAACTTAGTTCAGAAGGGTCAAATGTTTCATATCCCAAAATCTTACCTGGCATTTGACCATAACCAAGCTGCTGGCAGCCTCTAACTTTAATAACAGTAAATTTAGAATTATAAAATACGTTACTTCTTTAGGGAAATTTCTGTAGCATGTATATTCTTAAATCTATGTTTCCTGCTGCCAATCAGTAATTTGTAAACCATAAACAGTCACATTTCACCAATGTTGTTCTGTTTTATACATGCATCCCTTACTTATTTCTCTACCCTGGCTTTGAAACACACACCTTCTGCAATGGGCTTTTTATGGTATTTACTCTTCTCCCTTTTATTCTTGCATCAATCCCCTTTTAGAGACTCTACCAAGCCAGGCACAGAGGTGTATGCCTATAATTTTAGCTATTCAGGAGACTGAGGCAAGAGGATTGTTTAAGCCCAGGAGTTCGAGACTAGCCTGGGCAATGTAGGAAAACCTCATCTCATAAAAAGATATATATATGTATTTTTTTAAAAGGTAAAAAGAATCTACCAAAATCTGCTTCTAAAAACGTCTCTGGCCGCATTACCCTTTTTCTCTGAAACATCAGACCCGGCTTTTCAAACCGAATTTCTAACTACTGGCTTCTAACCATACAACACCGTCTACGTAAAGCACACAGAGGCACGCCTCATCTTGGTTCTTCCCAACCAAATCTCAGCCACTTTATGCCTCTCAGCCAGCCTAAATGCCTGGACCCATCTACATCCTGTGAAGCAGCGTCATTGCGAACTCTCCTTTCATTGCTTGTGAAGGATGCTGACACTGATCACCAGGACTATGTCACTCACCAGGACCCAGAGCAGCTGATTTGTAAGTAATCACACCTTCTGGGAGTTTGTCATTTTCTAGTGTTACCTCTTTTTTTTAATTGCCTCTTAATAATTACAGTGAAAACTACCAAAAAAAAGTTTATCTTAACTTTGGCCCATATACATATACCCTTGCATTTTGTCACTTCCCTACCAAAGATTGGCTCCCAAACATTCTCTCCAGCCTCACTTTCTGCCACAAAAGCAGAGCTGGCTCCCAGCCAGGTGCAGGAATGTGAAAAATACTAAAGAAACTGCCTATTTGTCATTTACTCAGGGGAAGGCTGCACTGTGATCCTTTCACAGGGTGATAGTCTCCGGTTTAAAAGGGATGGAGAAAGATATACCTGCAGAACAGAAGGTAGGCACCACTGGATAGCTAGACTGTGGGATCCAGGCCCTGCCACGGTAACAATACTGTTTGAGTTGTCAGCAGCTACTCTGGTTTCTATAAAATGTCAGAGCCCCAAAATGCCCTGGCACCTGTGCTAATAACAAAGCCAGCACAGAATGATTACCTGTTATTATATTAAATAGCTAAACTATACCTTGCATAATGCTTTACAGTTCCCAAGTGGGTTTATACATCTTTCCATTAAACATTAGTACCATTTCCAAGTGCTTTCCTTAGAACTTATTACAGCTATGCAAAATAAATACCATCTGGCTTCTTTGTAAAACAAAACAAAACAAAACAAAACATACAGTGCCAATACCTTCCTTTGAAGGGGGAACTAAAACACCCTCCTTCCGTTATTGAGAATTGTTCCCTGGAAAGTGGTCTCTGAAACAAAAGTGGTCTTTGAAACAAAAATCATTTGTAGGTTCTAATTTGTAAATTAGTATTTCTCAGGGGATACAAACCAGAGGCAATTAGCTTCATGAAAAAGTAAGTACGATTTATCTTTACTAAATTATCTATAGGAATGTTAAAAGGACTCAAGATTTTTGAAAATACAATTTTAAAGGTTTTTCTTTTACACATCTCCAGGGTTTGGTACATTAATTCCTTGCACTTTTTTTTTTAACACTAGCTTGAAATGTAACCGTAGAAAAAGAAGAGGGAAGCATTTCATTTCCTTGGAAAGTTAATGAACATATGAAAAGGTAAAAAGAGTTACCACAATGCCCGCCCTCCCTCTCCAACAGTAGAAATAGCCTACAATATGCAGCTTCCACACTGAGTTACAGGTACAGCCCATGTCAGGCTTAAACACTTTGATTTAGGACTAGCTGCAGGTGTAGGAACAGAGGTCAAAGATCTAACCATTACGGTTTATAGAACCTTTAATACAAGATGAATGGGATGCCATCACATTTTCTTAGACTTTCAAAATCTGAACTTTACCCTCTAGTCTTATGACACAGAATGGTAAATTCAATTTTTTAAAAAACATACAGGCTAAAAGCAGTATATACAGGAGACCCATTCACAGTAAATCATGACTTGCATGCGGAGGGCACTTACACTATGCCTAGGACAGTTAGAGATTGAACATAAAAATAGTCTCCATCATTTTTCTTTGCAATGCTTATAAAAAGTATATGTCTATATATTTTCTAATTTTAAGCATTTTCTCAGTTTTCTTTGCCAAGCCAACTCAAATTTCTTAACTATTTTTTAATTCAGAAAAAAAAATGAGTATGTATATGTATGTATACATTTCCTCATTCTTTTAAAGAAAGGCTACTTTGTTTTTACTTCTGTGTTAATACTATAAAAAAGAAATCTACCTGATCCTTTAGGTGCTCTAATATAAAAAATCTGACAAAGGCATATTATTTAACTGATTGCCCAATTAACTGTAACAGGAAGGAAAATGAAGGAAAGATCAGCATGCTTTATCACTGAAAGTTATATAATTGTATTTCCTCAATGCCTCAAATTACATATTAGTATTTATTAATATAATTCATTAAGATATATTTTCCCTTCTTCCCTCCAACCCCTGCTGAATTTGTAGAGAGGCTCTCTGAGGAACTTCAAGAGTGCCACCTGATGCATAGGCACAAGCCCCAGCCATTGTATCAAGCTAATTCAGACCAAAAGATCAAGCCAACACAGTGTGCTTCGGAGCTCTCAAATGGATGGCTGGTGGGTTGAAACTGCCCTACACATGTATTTTAAAAACCTAAATTAGCTCCAAACATTTAAAAATTAAGGAAGTGCACCCACACATCTAGATTTCCCACTTTTTCTGAAACATCAGTAGATCTGGCAACACTGAGCTTACATTCCACCATGGCTGGAATGACTGGCGCTGTACTCACAGCCCAGTTTATGGTGATCCCACTACTCAGACCCATCTCACACCCATCCTACTTTACTAAGCTATATGGCCTGGCTGCCAGGGCAGGTATTTGAACTTGTCTCCCTGTAGAGAGAGCTCTGGAGTCAGATCTTGTCTGAATTCTGGATTAAATAACATAAAGTACTAAAAGAACTTACCACAGTACTCAGCACACTGGGCTGAATAAATGGTCATAGATACTATTATCATCTTCAAATGACAAGGCATTTAAGAAATACTTGAGAAGATGCAATTTTCACCCAAGCCAAAGAGGTTTCTGAAATCACTCATTTCAACTCTCCAAATTTATGTTTTATTTAGAAACAAACTGAGTTTTTAGGGACTCATTAAACTTCTGCTCTTGTTTGTCAGGAACCTGCAGGCCTCCACTCTACATATGCAGAGAAAAGAATAAGCAAACCTCTGCAACCTCTGGTTTTCATTTAGTTGCTAAGACAAGCAATAGACTGCAAAAATAGTTTTATACATGTATCAATCTGTACCCTACTCCTGAAAAGTTTCTCATATTAACATAAAGAGGGAAGAGAATGCCAGCTTTCATTAACCTATAAAACATTAAACATTAAAGAACGAATTAATTGCTGCAATTAGCATCAAACGTTGACAAATGTATGGTTGTAAAATGTTTATCTTTCATTATAAAGGCTCTGGAGTTTGCAAATTGCAATAATTGATACTCTGTAAGAACTGTAATTAATTGAGAACTTTTACAGTTCAATTACAGGAGTAAAGGAAAGAAAAATTACATTCAATCGTCTCTTCATAATTTTAATGCAATCTTGGTGAATTAAAATTGGCAGAAAATCTTACCAACTTACATTCATAATCTGAGACAGACAAAACTGTAACAGAAGCTAAATCCAATTATTTATTCTATATTGGCAAAAATCCAAGGCAGTAACATAATGAATTTTTACGTGGATGGCTGCAGGTGGGGTGGGGGGGTGGCAGGAGTGGAGGGTAATGCAAAGAAGAATCCATGTAAACCTTTCTAATAAATTCCCTTGAAATGGCATAATTACGATATGAAATGGTATTAATAGTACTTGACTGAATATACTATATTCTGATAATAAAGTAAACGTTGCTGTAAAACCTTAACCATTTCTCAAATGTCGACTTTGGCTACAACATAGGCTACGACATATGTGAAAATTGGTACTCATGATCCTTAATAAGCATTTTACTTCAAAGTCAACAATTTTACAGCACAGCCTATCCCTTCCATAATGACAACTTAGAGTTATAAAATGGGGACATTACTTATGCAATTTATGTTTATAAAGCTAATTATTTTTGGAAATCAAATCACTACAAATGACCCAAAAAAACCCTTGGATGTTTATTTTATAAGAAGAAACATATTGAGGATGAACATGTTCCCCTTAGAATGAATGTATCTGTTCTATATGGCTGGCTCTTCCTTTGCTTTTGTTTTTGGTTTTGTTCTTTTGAGACAGAGTCTTGCTCTGTTGCCCAGGCTAGAGTGCACTCATGTGATCTCGGCTCACTGCAACCTCTACCTCCTGGGTTCAAGCAATTCTCATGTCTCAGCCTACAGAGTAGCTGGGACTACAGGCACACACCACCACGCCCAGCTAACTTTTTTATTTTTAGTAAAGATGGGGTTTGCCATATTGGCCAGGCTGGTCTTGAACTACTGGCCTCAAGCAATCCACCTGCCTTGTCCTCCCAAAGTGCTGGGATTACAGGTGTGCACCATGGTGCCTGGCCATGGCAGGCTCTGCCTAGGCTGGCCTGTCTTTAAACACAACCTGTGCTTTCCACATTCTGAAAACAAATGAAAGCAGAAGACTCATCCACATTCCACAGCTACTGTGAAACTTCAACAGCATCTACTGCATTTACTGAAGTGCTCTACCTCCCCTTCACTTTTCACTTCTTTGGAAGTGATGCTGATTACTCCAATAATCTTCTGGAAGGCACAGGGGCCATGCCATGACTCCAGAGTTCCAAAAGTGTATCCTTTTTACACTGATGACACCCTGAATGAGCCGGTCGCACCTGCCTCTTGCGCAGAGCCTTTCCTGTCTACAACTCTGTATCTCATTGACATGGCGCAAAATACTGATCCTCAAAAGAATGCCACAAGAGATTGAAACCATTCTTAAGGTATGTTGATTCTTCCTTTATAAATATGGAAGAAGAAGAAAAAAAATTACATCCTGCTTGCCTTCTAGAGCACACATAATCCGGGGTTTCCTTCTACTCCCACTGGCATCTCCTTCTCAGCATTCTTGGCCAGTCCTCCCCCACCCCCAACTTCTCAATATCTTAGTGTTGGAAGGTGTCAGGGCTTGGTGCTCAGCTTTATCTTCTCTATCTCTAGTCTTTCTCCAATAATCTCTTTCAGCACCATTGCTTGAAATTCCATCTACATGCTAACCACTCCCAAATATGTCTCCAGCCTTCAAATGGCCCAAATCCAAACCTGCTTGCCTGCCTGTTCAATAGTGCCTCTTATGTCTCATAGCCATCTCAAAAGACTATGTGGGACAAGGGACAAATAACTACTGCAAAACTCAACAGCATTAGAAAAGGCAAAACTATAGAAATAATAAAAAAGATCACTGGTTGTCAGGGGCTTAAGGAGAGGGAGGGATGAACAGGTGGAACACAGAGGATATTTAGAGCAGTGAAACTATTCTGTATGATACTAATAATGATGAACACATGCCATTATACATTTATCCATCCCATAGAGTGTAGAACATCAAGAGCAAACCGTAATGTAAATTATGTACTTTAGGTGATAGTGATGTGTCAATGTAGCTTCATCAATTACAACAAATGTACCATTCTGATGTGGGATGTTGATAGTAGGGTAGAAGCTGTGTGGGGTGGGAGCAGCATCAGGGGGTATATAAGAACTCTGTACTTGCTGCTCAATTTTCCTATAACCTAAAACTGTTCTAAAATATAAACTATATTTCCCACAAGTCTTTCCTGGCTACTAGAGAAAGAGCTGTCCAGTGGGAAAGATATAATCTCTCTATGCCAGAACCAGATTCTAGACCACTTTCTTTCACTGAGCAAAAACACAAAATAAGGAAACAACACACAATTATGCCACATGTGAATACTCAACCTGTTCCTCTCCCATTTCTCTTCTCCAAGCAGCCCTCCAAAACCAGGAGGAGGGAGTTTTTCAACTTACTTCTTGAAGAAGAAAAAGAAATCAATCGTCCCAACAGGTATTTACAGAAATAGCCAATAATTCAGTATTAGCTGATAATTATGAATCATCCTTACATTAGAGGGTGACCATACAATTTATCCTCCAAATTGGGATATCTTTTGAGAATGAAAGGGGCAGCTAATCACAACTAAAATTATCCTGGGCAAATGAGGAGATGCAATTACTCTAATCATTTAAAAAGCACTAACTGTATACCAGGAGCTAGTCTAATGGCTTTCCATAGACTGACTGACTGATTCGTTTAACTTCCATAATAACCCAAAGAAGTAGTTAGTGGTATCATCTCCATTTTACACACATGACTGCTGAAGCACAAAGATGTTAGGTATTTTGCTCAAGGTCACACAGGACAAATGGTACAGAAGGGAATGGAATCCAGGTGGACTGATGACACTCTTAGTCACCATGCTATACTATCAGTAACACCACTGTCAGCAACTTTCAAAATGTCTCAATTGTTATGATGTTTTATAATAAGCAATTTAACCTTGTATTTCATAGTCCTGAGTTATCTCAATAGGAAGTCATGGGTTTGTTTGTTTTTTCTTTTCTTTTCTTTTTCTTTTGAGACAGGCTCTCACTCTGTCACAGGCTGGAGTGCAGTGGCACAATCATAGCTCACTGCAGCCTAGACCTCTCCCGGTTTCAGGCAGTCCTCCCACCTCAGCTCCTGAGTAGCTGGGACTACAGGAATGCACCATCACACCAGGTTAATTTTTGTATTTTTTGTAGAGATGGGGTTTCACTCTGTCGCCCAGGCTGGTCTTGAACTCCTGGGCTCAAGCAATTCACCCACCTTGGCCTCGCAAAGTGCTGAGATTACAGGCATGAGCCACCACGCCCAGCTAGTTGTTTTTTTTTTTCTTATAGCTAAACTAAATTATTCCTCCTGTACCTTAGGGTAGAATGAAAAGAAATAAAACATAGCTAGAACTGGCAGGAAGCTGACTATTTCTGGCTTTGCATTTACTATCTGTTCTCATTATTCCCAGAAGTTATGTTCCATGAAGTTGCTGTGAACATTGAATTACTGGAATACTGAACTAGTGAAAACACAGTGTGGGTTCCTACAAGCCTCTGGTCACAATAATTTCATCAACTGATCAATACATAACTTTGTTTTCTGAGTGTTTCAGTTTAAAAACACCTTATTTAATGTATACAGTGTTGATTCACTAACAATGAACTCACGCCAATGGCACTATCACTGCAGTCACAAAACTATGACATATTGTTGATTTGTTAATATTGAACTCACGCCAACAGCAGTACAGCACTAGAACTCTAACTTACAATAGCACTATGAGCTTACCTTAAACACACATTTTCTCTGTAAGACACCACAGCCTTCTTGTAAACACTAAACAGTTTTGCACGATGCTTTGGGATCACTTTAAACAGCAAAATGATCAACAAAAAGCACAAAAATACAAAAAACTGTGGCACTTAATCGACCATCAGAAGGACACTTGTTTATAGTATAAGAAAAGGCAGAGACTGCCTTGTTCAACCTCAGCTGGAAACACGCGTGTCAGGAAACACATTTTTTTTTTTGCTGCTCTGCTTGCATGACTGTGAATGACCATAAAACCACAAGTATTGATTTTGGGTTAAAAATAAATTTTAGCAAATAGGTAAATTTGCAAATATGGAATCCGCAAATAATGAGTATCGACTATACTTGTCACTCACAAATGTATCAGGCTCCTGTAGCAGATGAGGAATTGAGACTTCAATACTGGCAGGCTAATCTGAGTGCAGGCCCCCATTGAGACTCCGAGTGCTTGGGTGACTGTGGGTAAGGTACTTTACCTCCATCTGAGCCTCCCCTTTCCTCATCTATAAAGTAATAATGCCCAAACTTTTTCTTCTTTGGGTTAAATAATAGCAATTTCAATAATTTCCCACCTTGTACTTTACATTTCTAATCTTTTTTTTTTCACTACAGTCTTCATAGAACTATCTCACATTTCTCATATGCTAGAATTAAGCTAAAGATAGCAACCTAGTTCTAAGTGGACAAAATAAAGTGGTATCTGTAGGCACACTGACTTTTTTCAGGAGCTTAAATTTAAACTTTCTTGAGAGAAAAAAAAAAGTGGCAGAATCGCATATACAGTCAGCACGCTGTTTTTAAAGAAAAGTGGGACAATAAGAAACCATTTTTATTTGCCTGTATCTACATAAGGAAATGCTAGGAGGATAAACAAGACAACTAATATAATACATCAACAGAAGGTGAAGGGTAACAGAGTCAACGCGTCTGGGCTTCTCAGTATATAAACAGATGCTATTTGATAATCTTTGGCCATTTTTGGGTTTTTCTGTTTTTGTTTTTGTTTTTTAAGACACAGAGAGTCTCTGTCACCTAGGATGGAGTGCAGTGGAGTGATCTCGGTTCACTGCAACTTCTGCCTCCTGGGCTCAAGTGATCCTCCCACCTCAGCCTCCCAAGTAGGTGGGACTACAGGCATGTGCCACCACGCCTGGCTAATTTTTGTATACTTTGTAGAGACAGGGTTTCGCCATGTTGCCCAGGCTGGTCTCAAACTCCAAAGCTCAAGCAATCCACCCACCCCCACCTTCCAAAGTGCTGGGATTATAGACGTGAGCCAACGTGTACAGCCTCTTTGGACTTTTAAGCCACGTAAATATATAACATACTAAAAACACAGTGAACCACCCTTTCCTATAAAATGGGTCAGAAGTCCTGAGTTCTAGCCTTAGCTCTAATTCTAATTAGCTGTGAGATCTGGGATACTATCTGTAAATTACAGAATGGGATATATGGCCTCTAAACTCAATCCCAAAATTCCATGGAAGTAGTTTATTAATCACAGAACAAAGTGAAAGAGTAAAATAAGCTCATGCACACCACATGGCTTACTAAGATAAATAAATTAACAGCAGGTGAGCTATATCTTAATCAAGCTAATGATCACACAGTTGATAGGTTGTACAATTTTATTTCTTATTTTTAAATAAAATACCTGGAGATTGTAAGAACAAAACTGCAATCATGAGTTACAGAAATTTTCATAAAACTGTTACCTAAGGACATGATGTAAAAGGAGTTTCTAATGAACCTGAAGTATAGATCAGATGACTTTTCCGTAAGCTAAATAAATTGACAGGATCCAAATCTTCCAGATTTAGAAATCATTCAGAGGCAGGGAAATCCAAGAATTATGCATTCAAACTAGAAATGTGTTTCGTATTTTGCACTGTGACATAATCCAGGCTCTGTTTTTCTTTAAATAAAAATTTTCATATTGTAGCTAAAGGATCAATTTAACTACAGTGCAGAAATGTTGGTTTATTAAGCTGTTCCATACATCCCAGGTGCCCATTTAATGAAGTTACTTGCAAATATAAAACAATTAACATGTGACTAGTATGGCATTTCTATATCTAGAGACTAGACTGAATTATATTTGAATTAAAACATCTGATAAAGACTATTAATCTAATGAGATTAATTTGACAAAGGAGGAAAGGAAAGAAGATTGAGGGGTAAGGAAAGGTCACTTCCTCAGTTCCCCCATCCAGGCCAAGGTCCTACTTTAAGGAATACTCTGTTTCTCAGGCATCTGTTCTGTGTGTGTTTATCCCACCAGGTCTCAAGGACAAGGACCTCGCTTGTCAAGCTTACTGTTACATTTCCAATGCCTAGCACAGTGCCTGGTACACAGTAGGTGCTCTCACCCTAAAATATTTTATCAAGGAATCAGATGTAATGCTCAATAAGAATCCCATATTCAGAGCAATGACTATTTTCACAATAAAGTCCATAACTCATGTGGACCTATTCATTTAAAGTTCCTAAGTAGAAGAAACTACATAAAGAAAACTTGGGCTTATTTGGGGAGCATACAAAGATTTTAAAAAATTATACTCGGTGTTATTCTTAAGACTCTGGCTGTTTGATGGACTAAAAGTAAATAGGTACTGGTGCATACAGTGTGTATGGTAGGCAATCATCGTATTAAAAAAACTGTACTTGTATGTGCAGAGAGTATCTCTGGAAGCTACGCCCCAAACCAGTCATACAGGGGGACTTGTTTCTCAGTGCATACTTTTTGGCAGTATTTGAATTTTACACCATGTACATTTATTACTTTCAGTGGTTGTAGGCGGACCCTCTCAACCACTGTTTCTTTAATTAAAGCTGAGTAGCCTCCTCCAGATGGATATGCATTGAGGCAGCCCCTGATGAGGATACACACTGCTCACAAGAAAAAACACAGGCATTGCAAATGGATTAAAAGCAGCTCTGGAGAATTCAAACTTTTACCATGCCAAACAGCCTACAACTCAATACCAGCCTTGCTCAAATACATACACTCACTAAAATTATCAAAATATTATGTCATGTTTCCCTCAAAGATGTTGTTCAACAATTCCAGAGGAAAGGAAAAGGCAGCTTCTTTATAAAGCTTTCTGCTCCATCTGTTTTTCAGAGCATGAACGTTCCCTCTCAGAAAACCATTTTCATACGTTACCTTCCTATCCTCAGGTTATTCATATGTTTGCTACCTCTAGCAACTCTTTCCCACATTAAAAATAAATACTGGCTGGGCACAGTGGCTCATGCCTGTAATCCCAGCATTTTGGGAGGCCAAGGCGGGCGGATCATGAGGTCAGGAGATCGAGACCATTCTGGCTAACATGGTGAAACCCCGTCTCTACTAAAAATACAAAAAATTAGCCAGGCATGGTGGCATGTGCCTGTAGTCCCAGTAGGAGTAGTAGATTCTCCTACTGAGGCAGGAGAATCGCTTGAACATGGAAGGCAGAGGCTGCAGTGAGCCAAGATCACGCCACTGTACTCCAGCCTGGGCAATAGAGCGAGACTCTGTCTCAAAAATAAAAAATAAAAATAGATATAAATAAATACTGTAGCAACATGTACAGCTAGATTTTTTCAAACCATCCCCAGGAGGCTTTCACTACATCCAGACCCTGATTTAAGTCAGACTTCTGAGCCTAAGGTAATGTCTGCAAAGCTAAGTCTCTAAAAGACTAACTTCCAAATCCACATACCACGGATAGAAATTATTGTTTAGAAAAAGCAATGGTAAGAAAAAGAATTCTCCAGTGTGAGCTGGTGATAACAGACTCACAGCAAGTGAAACCTTAGGGCCCTGGTTTTAGATTATTTAGTTATTCCGATAAACATTAGTTCCATGCTGATGGAAAGTTCATTTAGCAGCTGACATGCAGAGGGACAAAGTGATCTGTCTAAGGATGAGATTAACATTCCTTATGCAGGTCTCAGGAAAAATAAATGTGATCAATAAAAACTAGTATTCAAAGTTGGTAATTAGTTCATGCCAGGAAAGTCTGGAATAAAATAGATAAAGGCAAGCAAGTTTCTCCAGTTTGAACACCTGAGTTTCCAAATATTGGGGTCTTCAAAGAGTCCGGAAAAATATGCTTTATTCAACAGCATGCAGAGAAAACGTATCTTAGTTCTAAATAATTATACTGTTTTCCCCATTCTAAGTTGGAAAAGGTACTCCATAAGTAACAGAAAATCACTTAGTGTCTCTCTCTCTGAAATATTAATAAAATGATATCCTGATCTCTAAATTTATTAAAACAGTGGTAAAATAATATTCTGGACAAATAAAATTATATTACAATCACAAAAGCAGCTTTGTGAAAGTAAACTGGGTATTGGCCAGGAAGACTGAAAAAAGAAAAAGGATTAAAAAATAAGTCAAGGTTCAAAACAGGAGGCATACAGTGACCCCTAGGAATGGCATAAGCATAAGTGAGGTAAACCAAACTCCTCCCATATTTAATATTTTTAAAACCTGAAAAACACAGATTCTCAAACGACTATATGAGATCCTCCAAAAATCAAAGATAAAATAATTAAATCTATACCTGTGACATACATTTTTTAAACCAGTCTTCCTAAAAATCCTTAATGCCACTTAGATAAATCCAAGAGAATAATTTCATAACTTAATCACTCCAGCTTTCTTTTCAACTGAATGCCTTCAAGTAAAATCTCAACTTGTAAGAACGCTTGCTGAGGATTTCTTGGAAAGCATCTTATTCACAGCAGATTTTTTCAGAGCTATCTAAAAACATTCACAAATGTACACCTAAATATTTATAACTAAGTAGTGTGTATCAAATATATACAAGACTCAAGAGAATAAGAAGTAGAAGCTACATCACAGGACAACTTCAGCAGATGAACACAAACATTCCTATTGTGCCCTGTTCTGGTCATTCGTATTACTCTTCTCTGCTAGAAAAGAAATTCCAATGAACTCCCAATACAGAGACAGTTTTTCTTGTTACAAAGGGACCTTTGTTTGAATCCCCCACAAGTGACAAGGTCAATCTTAGCCAATCTTGACATTTCTATGGAACCTTTCCACCAAAATTTTTTTCAAAGTCCAAGTCATTTCCCGAAACCTTTTTGAAATCCAAAGGAAACACTGTATAGATAAAGTATCTATTAAGTTCTTTAACAAATACCATTCATCATATGTTCCTCAGGATATTTTTTATAAATATATTTTTAAAATTAAAAAACAAGGCTTACATGATTTAATCCACATCCTTAAAACAATTAGAGAATGGTAATAATATACTGAATTAATACTAAAACAGTCTTCACCTTCTTCTTAGCATATAGGTGATTTCAAAATTTTTTTTAAAAATCATATTTTCACAGCTTTTTTACATAAAGTTGATACTCTAAAAAATTAAAATATTTTGCTGTGAGGTTGCTCAGTATTTATATCAGCACCTAAGATATAAGAAATTCTTTAAGTCCTAAAAAAAGACTTGCAAAATCATTTTCTACAAAAGTTTATTTTGAAAACAGATTTTTTAGACCAAAAAGCAGAAAATTACAACCTGAATTAAGTTGGCACTTTCCAAACATACATTTTCTTTTCTTCCTCAAATCACTGTAAAGTAGTTTAAGGAGGGTAGTGTATGTTATTTGGGTATTTTTTTAATCTGAGGAAAGTACATAGACAGCATACATGCAAAAGTTAATAAATACAAACTCCACACACTTCAGATTATGGGATACTTTTATAATCAATTAGGTTATTTCTAGAGAATACTGCAATGCCAAACCATTGGGACACATTCACAGACTGCTTATGCTAAAGATATGGACAATATTCTTCACTTCGGGAACAATGTCCATGAGAAAATAAGACAATGACCTTTATGATGTGCCACAGAGCTGTGCCACAGAAAACAAGATGCTCTTTGCTTTTAAGTCTCCATATTCTAAGAGGTCAAAGACATTCAAATATGAGATAAAAATCTCATCACTCCGTCTGACTAGCTCCATGGGTGATGTACACCAACAGGAGCAAGTTCAAATAATTTTCCAGATGTGTAATCCCTGGCAGATTAAAATTTAAATTAAAATTTAGTTCTGTAGACTGAACCCTTAACTGCACTTACAATATATATGTATTTTTGAACAAACAGTCTATGCCAATACATTATGAAGAATCAAAAAACTCACTAGGTACAATTCCAGTTAGGTGAATGACTTTAAACAAATCCACGTAACTAATTTGGGCCTCAGTCTCCTTACCCACAAAAGGGAAATGGTAGTACAGTAAGTCCACACAATGTTGTTGATAGGTTTTGGGGGCTGTGACTCTAAGTGAAATGATGTATAACTAAACTAATTTTACCAAAGGCTCATTGATATAAACAAAAGTTAAGTTCCTACAGGATATTTCTGGTCAAAAAGAAAATCACCAAACTTCTAAATAAACACTCAAAACACTTCTAATATTAAACACTGAAATAAATGTAAGCTAGATATACATTTAAGAAAGAGAAGTAAAAACAAGTAAGACAATTATTTACCCAATTTTTGGTGAATCAGTGAGTGACAGCAGTGGGTTAAATCAAGGTATAAATGTTTGCAAAGTGAAAATTGGAAGGAGCACCTCCTACCATCATGCGGTTCAAAAACAATCACAAATACGGCGGCTCAATGAGCGCTTTCTAAAAGCATCGTTTATTATAGTGCATTTGTATGATTATCATATATAATACAAATTTATATTTCATAATCATTTGCATTCATTCATTCATTCCTTTCCCAAGCATCTTATTCCAGTTCAGGGTCACACCTGGCCAGAGCCTATCTCGGCAGCTCAGGGGGCGAGGTAAGTGTCAACCCTGGACAGGACACCCTTCCATCACAGTGCACTCTCACACACCCACATTCATTCAGACTGGGGCCACAGACACGCCAATTCACCTAATGTGCACATCTTTGGGAGGTGGAAGGAAACCTGACTACCTGGAGAAAACCCACGCAGACACCGGGAGAACATGCAAACTCCACACATGCAATGGCCCTGGCTGGGAATCCATTTTTCCCCTCATCAACATTATAGCAAAACAACATTACTCAAGGATTTGGCATACTTCACAGCATGCTATTAAGGATTAAATCAGATGAAATAAGAAAAGTTTTTGGAGAAACACAAAATTGATGCCCAGATGCTAATAATTAATGCACAGCAATTAGAGGCAACATCCTATGATAAGCAATTAGAAGGCTTTAAAAAGTCTGCTTTTGAAACTTAATTCATCAACCATCTCCCTTCCACTTAAATCAAGTGCTAGCTTTAACTTGGCTAGAATACAAAGTTTAAATTAAAATCTTTTCCATCAGCCAGAAAAACTGTGTGGTCCTGCTTGTTTTACTCACAACTGGCAGAGTCAAAAATCCATGTAATGGTTCAAAATCCACAGCTATAAATGCAATGCAGATGAAACACTGCAACCAAACCCCAGTCATTGTTTCTTTTTCCACAAAATTCTACCCTAGTTTAAGATTGATAACAGCTAATGACTAAGTAGGTAACACTTTAGTCTGTCCCAACCAGGCTCATTATCCAAGTTTAAATCTCCATGTGACAACTCAGAATCCACAGACTTAGAATTTGTAAAGGCAATGCAAAAAGAACATAATGGGTCCAAATGCCTGCAAAAAGTGACCAGGAGAATGGTCTAATTGGCAGCTGAAGCATGCCAGGGCCTGCTCTGAAGCACTGATTCAAGGAATCTACCACTCACAAAGAAAACACCAGGCTGGTTGGAAAAAATAGCTCAGGTTTTAGTCCTAATCTAGGTCACAATTAATTCTTTATGATTATGGAAGAATCTATTTACTTTGATTCACTCAATGTCAAAATAAAGATGATTGCTAAAATGTAATATTGTGCCACAACTACCTTTAAAAATAAACTCATGCAAACCATTGCACTAGATGCTGCATAAAACAAGACCTATTCTTTAATTTAGTCCTAGACCAATGCTGGCAGAGGCATATATTTACAAAAGTCAACAAATACAAAATCCAGAGACATTTCAGAATACCAGACATAGATGATAAAAATCATTTAGTAATAACATCAACAAAATAATTGCTACTAAAGAACTTGTCTAGTGTTATGCTAAGCATTTTATGTATATCATTTAATCCTCAAAACAATCTTATAAGGTTAAGTATACTATCATCCTTATTAAATGAGAAAGAAACTTAAGATTTAAAGTCAACAAGTACTTGCCTAACATGTTACTAAAATGGATATTTCTTGAGGCTTTTTATATTTCTGCTGTAATACTCAACTTATTGTTTCCTGCAAAACCTAATAATGATGTTAATAATAATGTATTTGAACATAAATCCATTAACAAAGATGATAAAATGTTACTTAACCTATACTATGCCAATCACTATTTGACAGAAAAGGGACAAAGTGTACACACACACACACACACACACACACACACACACACACACACACAAACCTGGCTACCAGCATTCCAAAAGGAGAGTAGCGCAGAAGGCTGTGGGTGCCAACTGCCACTATACCTTCGTTTCCTGTACAACAGTCCCCTTCTTATGTGGTCCTGGGTCTCCTGGTCCAGTATTCACCAATGCTGCCCTGCTGCTGGGGTAAAGAGGGTCATCATCTTGCTGGGTAGAGCCAAAGAGGGGATCTAGGATCTGACTACTTCTCAAACAGATTTGCATGAAACTTGCAGTTTTAGTCACACCTTTACCCAACTTCATCATCAATTCCTGCACCTAGGAATTACCTTTAACCTAGTCCTAGACCAAATTAATTAAGTTAATCATACTTATAGGTCTTTTTCTATTAACACAGCAATTATCTATAAATTACTCCAAGTAACCATAGATTTGTGAAGGAAGAACCAATCAATCAATCAATCAATGCACCACCTTTCAGAGGTTCTGGGATTTCAATCTGGTTGATCCTTGGTTTTCCTCACTACCAGTCTAGATTTAAACTTTCCTGCATTACTGGACAACCATCTCAGGTTTTTCAGGTTCCAAAATATTGTAGCTGTTGTCTCATTCTTATTTTCTTTTTCCTTGTGTATTGACCTTCCCATCATTTTTACTGGGATTTTTAGAAGAGAATGAATACAGTGCATGTCTCTAATCAGTCATCTTTAACTGGCCTCCTGTTCAATTGTACAAAGACTTCAGATCCCACACTGCTTTCCTGAGGTCTTATCCAAAGGACTGCATCTATTAAAACATCACTAGTTTTTCTTTCTTTATTGAAATAATACCTAAACAACTACCTATTTCTTTTACTATTACTCCAGACACTGGTTGTTGATAAGAGCTGAACAACATGGACTAGAATACTCACGTAGACTTACTTTGAAGTATTGTGAAAATACTTCGGGTGAATTTCAAATAAACTTCTTTGTCATTAATCTCAGGATAGAGAAACAGTCAAAAAGTGACATAAAGAGTGGCTTCTGAATGTCACTGTCTTTCAACTGTCAGTTGAAGAAATTGATTTTAGAAAGAATAAAGTTTCTCTGTTATATTCAGGAAAATAAGGTAATGGCTTTGTTTACCAAAGACTCTGGGGTAAGTTTATCTTGAGTATATATGGAGTAAGAAAATAACATTTGCTAACAAAAATAGCAACAGCCATTACTTCAGGGCAAAAATTAAACAGGTTCTACAACTTAAAATGTTCCATATTCTCTGGCCTAGTTAAATTTAATGTGTTTTTCCTTTAAAATTTAGCTTTAAGAATTAGTCAGGAAAGTTAAAATTTTAATATTCATACTATAAAAGACTTTTGAAGGTTTACTGTTATTTGCTTATGCATTAAAGTTTAGAATTTTAATTACCAAATAGAAACGTATTTCATAATGCAGATATGCTATACTATTATTTACATAAATTGTCATTTTTTGGTAATATGAACTCATTTCATAAAATAATATTAAAGCAAGTGCATGTAAGGTAGTTTTTAATGTCATATGACATTTCAATTTTAATAGAGTTTGATTAAAATTAGGGAAAAAACTTCTGGAGAAGCAAGTGCGGGGTAAGTACTATTTTGTATGTTTACTATTATTGTAATTTACTCTGCTACACAAAGCAGAAACCAGAGAATTTGGCATTCACTGCTCATTATATGTTGGGAACAAATTCAGTTCCTCAGGACACAAAAGCACATTGATGGATATTTTTACTTTACTCTGCAGAAATTGAAGACAAGCATAGTTTTAGTTTTAAATGGCTTTCCAAAGAATACCAATGTTTTAACTTTGTAATTGGAAAAAGAGAAACAAGTACCTTGCAAAGGTCTTCAGTAGCATATTTTTATAGGGTACTAATAACAGCACACTCTGTTATTGAAAAAAATTAAATGAAAGACTGTTAACATAACCTAGGTATTTAGAATGAAAACTCAGAATTGAGAGTAAAAACCCATCTTTTTATGAAACATCAAAGCAAAGACTCATCTAATTTTCATTTTGCAGAAAACTTTTTAACACAAAAGACCTTATTTAGACCTTAGAGTTTCTAAATATGGGAGAAGGGTTAACATTCAGTCTTCTACAAAAGACAATTTTCTTTCCTAATAGTATCAGTCTTTTAATAGGGATGTATCTTAAATTTAAAAACAATTGGTGTTAGATCATATTCTGTTGCAAATCATTGTAAGTTAATCACATTTATAGGTCTTTTTATATTAACACAGGGATTATCTATAAATTATCCTAAGTAACCATAGATTTTTGTAGATTTTGTAGGGGAAGAACCAAAAAAAAATCAAAGGAAATATGAAAATATGCAAAGTATATACTATGTGTGATGTTTAGTTATGAATTAAGCCTATTCATTTCTAATTGAAAGATGATATCAAATACTCCATTTTTCATGAGATGATCAGGCTTTTAAGATAGCCGAGGTCCTTAAAAGACAAGGAGATCATGAAACCAGGAAAAGCTCATGAATTTGAGTCAGAGGGAAGAAGTTGGTACAGTTAAACAGGAAGGAAGTAGAGTTGGAAGTCAAAGCCTTTTTCCCTGACACTGACCCAAAGTCATCTAGGTACTACCTAAATTTAAAGAATTTAGCTCTAATCATTCCATGCAAAAGGAAAGTGTGTCACCCTTCTTAGGCAGGGTAAAAACAATCAGTAGGATTCTAACTCCCCAAATACTCCTTTTAAGGAGGGTTAGAAAACAAACAATTGTTAGGCCATGGCACTAAGAGACAGAGTAACAGGAAGGTGTTAATAAGAGAGGCAAACCCTTTACAGCCAAAGGACTTAAGATCCATGCACACTGTGCAATTCCTCTTATCCTATTTAACTCATTTCTGTTCCAACCCACAGGCTCCTTAAATGTTTCTTTGTCAAAATTCTGACATTCGTCTTCTTTTTACTCCATGCATCTCAAAAAGGGCTTCAGTGGCATTTGGGTGGGACAATTCAGGCTTATCTGGGACTGTCCTACTAAGTGTAGGATGCCTGGCACCCTGGCCCCCACCTACTAATGTCAATAGAGCCCCCCAAGTCTACTGGGGCAACCAAAAATGCATTTCCAAGTATCCTTAGGGGGTAAATACCACCACCACTGCTTACAAACCACTGCTACAAGTTGTAGTTATCTCATTTAAACTTAAAATGACAAGAACCACCTCTGTGACTCAAATTGACATCCCTACTGAAGATTTTTCTGTAGTTCTAACCTGCTTTTCTCTTTTTAACTAAATACCTTACTCTCATGTTCCAGGCACTCAAATGCAAAATGCCCCAAACTGAATTCCTTGTCTCCCTCCCTAAGCCCCAATCTGTTTCTCTTATATCCTGGTTAATACAATTTCCAATGATAGTCAACCAGGTAGAAACCTGGGAGGCAAACCTAGGAGGACCCCGCCTTTTCAGCAAGTCCTCAAGAGTCCATATTCTAAATATCTCTCAATATCCCTTGGAGGCCCCTGTCAGTTTCCACCCTAGCTAGCTGTGTTACTTCAATTGCCTCAAATCTTTTAACATTTTCACCTCTCTGCTAAGACAAACACCATACTGTTCTCTACAATGCCACAAAATCAGTCCCCTACTTAATTGATAAATGTTTCCACATAGGCTTTAGGAAATGGTGAAAATGCCTCAGCAGGGCACATAATGGCCTTCACGAACATCTGCTCTCATGCTCTCCTTTGATTTTCACCAAGGGCCTTTAAACCCATAACCTCCAGCCAAACCCAAGCCTTTCCATTTCAAGGAAAGTGCCCTAAAACGCCTCTGCAAATACATTGGAGGTGTTCGCCAACTACCATGGGTCCCAAGAACCAACGGCCCCTGGGGAGATGCCACCAGCTGAAATGCTTTGGAACTTAGGAGCCTTGCAGAATAGGAGGCCCTAAGTGTTAACTGAAATGAGAAATGTTTTAAAAGAAGAAAAGAATTTTGCAGAGACATACTACTGATACATACGTACACACACACACAGTCAGAATGATCGTTGTCCCTGCTTGTCTGTTTTCAAATAGTGTCAACTTACATAAATCTTAGTGTTATTTATTGGCAGTCAACAACCTAAGCCACAATACAGGGGACTAGACAACACACTGTTAATTTGGATGTCCAGGATGTTCTGACCGCAACCTATATTGAATATGTCATCACCTATAGCTATAATTTTTCATTAGGTAAAAGTAAAACAATGAAGATAGCCCTGGTTATGACATACTTAACAATACCATGCTTACTCTGTAATATCTAATTCAGACACTGATCATTTATTTTACTCAAGATTTTATTTCGCATTTTCTTGGGACTGCAAACTCTTTCATGAGTAATACATTAAGTAGTTACCAACACTTGGGTGTCACTCTTGAAGTTCAACAAGCAGGCCTTACATCATGAAATAGCCTTTGCAAATAAATCTTCTGAGTACTTTGAATTTCAAAAAGGCTGTATCTGAAATGAGTGTTTCAAACTAAATCAAAAACACTTTTGTAATGTAAGTTATTATGATATAGACAGAGTTATCATGTAAAAGCTGAACATTCCTAGTTGAAATATAACAGAGATCAAATTATTACAAAGGCAGATATCCATATTAAAGCATTGCATTTGAAGTGAAAACAAAATAAAAATGTAAAGAATACAGATATTTCTTTGTTTTTCTTTTAATGGAGGATGAAAAGTATCTGTTTTCTTTTTTAAATAAAAAATAGACAAAAATGTTCAAAATAGCCCCTTACGATAAGCTATGACAGAGATAAAATTTTTAATAAAACCTTAAATGAATTTTGTAAATGACTGAAATTAAAGTAAAATTTTAGTCTATACTTTAAATAAAATGACTTATTTCAAGGTTAACCAATTATGAATTTGTCAGCCATATCCAGTGACCTCCCCTGTTTTATTCTGGGCTCATATTTCTTACTGCTTGTTTCTCATTTCCTTGTGTTTCCTTTTCTAACTACATTATGTTTATTGCAGATGCTGAAACTACAGATAAGTACACAGACAGAAATTAAAATAACTCATAATTCTATCATTAAAGATAATTATCCTTTATGTTTTGATAAATTACCTTTCAAATAATTAAAATCTAGAACAATATGAAATCCCACTCTTTAGACCTGCTTTAAAATCTGAATATATTAAAGTCCATATTATTAAATATTCCTTTAAAGCATTTTATTGGTTAAATAATCGTACATTATATAGGTATACATAGCTTATTAAACTAAAACCATATTTCTATTACAGTCCTTTTAGAATTTTCCTTCAGTTTTCCTGGCCTCTTAGAGTGATGATCTTTACATGCCTACTAACCATGAACTACATTATACTTTTGTTATTTCTCCTAAGACTTTGTTCACTGAGGGCAGTCTATTTAAGGATACATACATACTCTATTGAAAAGGCTACAACATAATGCTTGGTATGAATTATAAGTATTCCATAAAAGATAACTAAAATAATAACTAAATAAATGAACGTACACGTCCTTCAAGCCTCAAGGAATACCCTGGATTCTAATATTTTGGTATTTGATAAATTCAGTTATGTTCATCATTTCTACTTGTATTAACTTTTTCAGATAAGATGCCTCTAACAGCTTCTAACTTTTTGAGCAGAAAAAAAAATGCTAATACGTTTTCCCTCTCCTTCTTATTAAGCAGATAATTCTCTTTCACTAGCTAAGCCAATCTTACATGTTAACATTGCTGATCTAGTCAAAGCAAATATTCTTGTGTTTCAGCGAGCATTAGAAAACCTCTCCTTCCTTGACTTTTGTTGATGTAATGTTAGTGCTTATCTCAAATTTTAAATTGTTCCAACATCATAGAGGAATATTATTAGTTTAGTAATATTTTACTGACACATACTATGTTCCAGATGGCTCTTATTCATATGGAAAAGCTTATAAGAGAAATGCTAACTAAAACTATGCTCAGATAATCCTCCTTACCTATCAGACAAAATCTAAAGGTTAGATGACAAAAATCTAAAGGTTTGTTGACATACTCTGCTAGAAAGACTCTGGGGAAGCAAGCATTCATCTATTCTTGGTGGTACTGCAAAATGGTACAATTTCTTTGAAGAAGAATTTGGCAGTATCTTACAAAATAGTATACGCATTTACCCTTTGATCTAGCAATCCTAATTCTAGAAAATCTCAAAGATAGAATGGCTAATATATAGCAGGGTGTAAGCACAAAGAAAAACTATCTGTAACAGTGAGACTGAAAATAATCCTAATGCTCATACAGATAGGCGGCTGGATGAATAAACTACTACACAGTTACTCGATGATAATTATTGTAGCTGGAGAAAGGAGTAAAACATCTCCATAAACTACTATGGAGTAACCTCTAATATATGTTGTTACATGAATAAAGAGGCTGAGAAAAATAAGTAGAATATGCTTTCATTTATCTAAGAAAGTGAGGGGAATACATATACATAAGCATATGCATATGCTTATTTTAAAAAACAAAGATAAACAACTTATTTAAGAGTATCTATATGGGAAGAGAATAGGATAGAGGGGACAAGAATAGAAACTAGACTTTCTTCTTTATGTTTTAAGCTTTATTGAGGTATAATTGATACATAAAAAAGTACCTATTTAATATATATACTTTGATAAATTTGGAGTGTCTATGGGCTTTTAATATATCTAGTTTTATAGAGAAAAATTTGGATTTTTTTTCTGGGTATCTACTGAAACAGCCTAAAACCACTTAGCAATGAGCACGCTGGTACTCACTGAGGTTTTAAATACCACCTCATTTCAAAAGACACCAGAGCTCTTTGGGGAAATGGTTGATTCCAGGCCTGGAGCAGGAATTGTAAAACATGATCCTTTAACATCTTAAAATGTCATATAGCAAGAAAATAATCAAAAATTGTTAAGATCAAAGATGGAACAATTTGAGCACTAATAAATAGAATAACGTGAACTTTACCACTGAATATATGAATAGATGGATGTACCTTTCCCTTTATAGAAATATTTCAGCTAATAAATGAATAAAGAACGATAAATTAGAGTAACACTGTTTTACAATCCTTAATGAATTAATGGATCTGGTATTGATCACCACCCATAAATTATGTGCCTCATGGGAAATTCTACAGAACAAATGACCGGATTTCTTCAACAAATAATTGCAAGGAAAAAACATAAAAATGAATAAGGAAAGTTTTAATGTGCAGACATGCTATAATCTCCAGGATAGAGGTAAAAAAAAGTAAGGAGCAGAACAGTGTTTATAGTATGGTAACATTTAAGTAAAAACAAGAAAAATATATATATACATGTATTTTCTTACATAATCATAAAGTATTACTAAAAAGATACACAAGAAACAAATGTTGACTCTGGTTGTGTTTCAGGTGGCCAGGGAACAGTATATGAATGGCATTTTACTGTAGGATCTTTCATATTTTTGGAATTTTGCAACATGTGACTCTACTACTTACACGTACAAAACTTAAATGGAATAAAATCATAAAAGCATCATCATAAGTATAACCACAACAGTGTAGTTATGTAAGAAAATAACCTTATTCTTAAGAGCTGAATACTGGAGCATTTATAAGTAAAACATCCAATGTATATACTTGGAAAAAAATTAAGCAAAAATAATAGATAAGTAAATATGGAAAATTTTAACAATTGCTAAATATAAGTTTTGAATGTATAAAAGTTTATTATATGATTTTATCTACTCTTCATGACAAAAAGTAAAGCAAAAATCCTTAAATATAATGAAAATATATATTATTAAATCGTAGCCAGATATTGCCTGCAGAAGACCTAAGCCTAAGGCTTACTCTTTCTTTACTGAAATGGATGAATATCACAGACTAGCACCAAACGAAGACACTTTCCTTGATGTAATCAGAAGTAAAGAGCAAGCAAAGTGGGGAAAGAGGAATAACATAACTTAGGACAGCCGTCTGCTGTGACAACTCATTACACACTGAGCATCTGTCTATTCACCAAACTTGAAACATATCTCAAAATGTATTTCAAGGAATCAAGACAAAAGCCAACTGAATGAGACTTGATAACCAGAAATGCCTTCCTTTAGAGATAACAAAGTGTTTATTAGTACGCAACTTCTTGGCACGACCAAAGGCAGACTGCAGTGCACTTACTTTTTGCTTGCCTCACAGACATCTGTAATATTGGAGAAAAGATGGTGCCTCTCGGTTTTAGTCATTGTATCACTCAGTTCTTTAGAATTTTTAAACATTCGTATCAAGATCTCCAAGCTGAGTAAATATGAATGTTCAGAGGATATGACTTCAAAGATAGCCTGGTAAGAAGGAAAAAGAAATGTATTATTAATTCTTTTAATTAAAGAACTAAATATAGCTCTCATAATTTTGCTGTAAGAATAACAAGATACTCCACTTTTCAGGTATAGTATCTTGGAAAGTACAAAAAGAACATTAAAGAAACAACATCACAAAACTACTCTCTTTATATAATATACATTTACCCAAATCTTAAAAAATAATCACTATCTGTAAATATGAAAAAAATGAAATCATGTGGATGACTTGACATCACATCCTGAGGTCATGCCTTTGCCAAGGGGTAGAATCTATGGAAGGAAGCGAGGGCATGTCATAAAATCTCAGTGAGACATTAATTAACCTTTGGGGTCATCTCCTCCAGCCCTGCTTTCAAAGCATGCTGCTTTAGGGACAGTAAGGATTTATGGTCATCTCTTGAGATTCAGAGAAAATTTCTCACACCTTCCTTCCCTTCCCTCTTGTGTGTCACACTCTTCCTCTCCCTATGCTTAATCTGACTAATTTTCAGTCAATAACAGCAAATATTCTGGTATGACTGTGTCTACCCTCAAAAGGTTCTTATCAACCACAGGAATTCTTTTATATAAACTCATACAATTGAAAGTAATTCCATCTATTCAACAAGTCACATTCTCTACTCTCATCAATGTCTCAAGAAGGAGCAAAGGACTCTCTGCAGAGACTCTCAGTGGCAGGCACACAGTGGTTTTCCTGATAACTGTTAATGATGAAATACCAACCCACATATGTGGATAAGATTCCAATGCCCTGCGTAAGGAATTCATCTAGATCCTTAACAAAATCAAATTCAGATCCTCTAAAAAGGGATATAGGGAAAATGCAGGCCTAAGATTCACAGCCTTCCTGGAAAGCTCCCTGGTAATTCTGTCTTCATCACCCTGATCTCCAGGGCTCCACCCCTTCAAGTCCTTGCCCCAAAGAGCAGAGGGTACTGTGGCTGGGTGGGAGCAGGAAAGGCACAAGCAGGTGGACACCCAGCTGCTGATGGGTGCTCCATATTTTATAAATCAGGTTAGAAGTGCTAATCTCAGTGCTCACCTCCACTTTTAACTTCCGTAAGGTTTAGGGACTTGGGTCTTACTTAAATGTGCTAATCTAGCCTCAGTTGTATTTCATGAAATTAAGTGATGTAACTATCTGAAGAGTAAAGAGTAAGAATGTTAAGAGTCTCATTTAACCTGCGTATTGAATTTTTTCAATCAATACAATAACCCCCAAAAACTATACACAAAGCGAATTAAAGAAAAATTTCCCTTCTGGACCATAAATAATGGATTTCAGGTGTTGATGTATACGATGCCTTGGAATTACTTAAAATATTTGCAACAGCAAAGACATTTTTCACTTCTTCAATGCTGTACTATGCTAACTGATTAATGTGATTAAGTGATAATTGAGGGTTTTGAGAACAAAAATTAATATTGCTGAATTCAACATTTTAAATAATTTCTTTTGTTCCTGAAGGGCATAAACAAATAAGCCCTTTGTTATCTCCAAAGGAAGCCATTTAGGGTTATAATGTCTCATGCATTTGGCTTTTGTCTTGATTCCTTGAAAGAAATTTTGAGGTATGTTTCAAGTTGGGTGGACAGACAGATGTTCAGTGTGTAATGAATTGTCACAGCAGACAGCTGTCCAAAGTCACTTCATTCCTTCTTTTCCCCCACTCTGCTCACTCCTTACTTCTGATTACATCAAGGAGAGAGTGTGTAATCTAATCTAAATACTCAAACTGGGCAAAAAGACTTAATGAACTATTTATAATAGATCACAGGAAAAGGTAAATAATTGGCAGTTTATTATAATAAGTTTAATAAAATAATTGCTAAAATATCCTGCAATAATACCATCAACTATTTAAAAGCAAATTAGGTTAGACCTGTTATATATAGCAGGTAGGAATTGCTATATAGGAATAGAAAGTCTGAATAAATATTTTCAGAATATGATAGAAATAGGCAAGGTTATATAAGGTTTAAAAGAACAAAAATGTTCAAATGGGATTAATATCTTGGAGGAGCTTTTAAATTTATCCACAAGGAGAGGGAAACATTTTTATGTCACAATGTTAACAATGAAGGAAAAAGTCCCACCTACTGTCCAGCATTGGAAAAATAGATAAAAAATATTTAAAGGTGGTGTTCATAGACTAGAGTACTATATGATGATTGAAATGAATGATCTAGATTCATATGCATTAACATGAATAATCTCAAAAATAATGTTGAGTGTAAAAAACAGAAAACCAAAAAATATGCATAGAATCTCATACATATACATTTTAACACACATGCACAAATATGTGTGTGTATGTTATACATAATTTTAAAACACAGGCTGGAAGTATATGTACCAGTTCATAATTATAGTTGTCTCTGGGGAGGAAAGGAATAGGACAGGACTGAGGAAGAGAATGCAGGCCTTCTACACTATCAGTTTTATGTTCTTTTTAAAAAAGGAGAAAAATTACGATTGTTATACATTTGTTAATTCTCAGTGGATGGGTACACCAAAGTTCTATACTATTATTTTTTTTAAACTTGAAAAAATGGCACTATACTGCACCCTTGTATTTCACTTTATTCTATGCCAACCAAAAAAAAAAAAAAGGACATCCTTGGGTCCTTTGTGGAATCAATTTATATGTATGTATATGCATTGACATACACACACACACACACACACACAATAATATGCAGGAAGCAAGAGGAAAATGCTTTGAGAGCTTCACAATATTATTACAATAAGCAATTTTCTCAAATTGCATTGATTTAAACTTCAAGTTGTAAAACTGCATTATTAACCTGTTTTTTTTTTTTTTACTAAATAAACTTTTTATTTTGGTATAATTTTAAATTTATAGAAAACTTGCAAAAAGGGTTCAGAGACCCTTGTATGCTACATCCAGCTTTCCCTAACCTAGGGTATCTTACATAAATAGGCTACATTTGTCTACAGACTAACGTGACTATCAGTTTTTCCATAAACATCCTTTTTCAGTTCTAAGATCTAATGTTGGTTTCATTTTTTATCATATTTCTCTCAGTTTAAATACCTGAACTAGGTGCTTTGTTGTTTAAAATCAAACGATGTTGAGTGATGTTGAGATATTTAAAATTTTTTCTTTTCTGGGGGCTTATGCGTAGCTTTACATTAAAATGATCACTTACTGCTTTTGTTAAACAAATACATTTTCAAAGGGCAACACTAAACAAGTGCACACAGTAAGTGAAAACACAAAAAAGCAGACACCGACATGCACACTCCAGAGCTCTAAAGCAGCTGCTCGGTAGAAACATACCTCTTGTCTCTTTCTTTCCTCCTGGCTTACTGTCTGAGATAATCCCTTTCTTTTCACCTAGGAGAAAAAGCAAAGTAGAGTTGACTCATTTATTAATACTTTAAAAGTTTCAAGGGCATTATTCAAGGCATAACTCTATGCCCTTCAAAAATGAATTAGGAGAAACTATACAAAATGTTGAATTCATCAATATTAATTTATTAATTAATCAACAGTTATTTAATAAATATTTATAGTGTGCCAGACAATATACTAAGCATTTTATACTCTTTTTCCCATTGAATCCTCATACAAACTCTAGAAAGCTGATACTGTTCTTTTCCCCATTTCACAGATGGGGGTAACAATTGAGGCTTAGGATCCAAGAGCACATAGCTAATAGGTAACAAGGCCAGGATCTGCATCGACGCCAGTCCAACTCCAGGGCTCATGCTTTTAGTCAATATTATTGGTTAGGGACCCCCTACTTTATATGAAAGGCATCCCATTTCTAAGGGTTGGGCTAGCATCACTAAGACCCCTTCTAATACCAAGTCTGTACCAGTTTTCATGTGTTTTTTTGGTCCACATGTATCTTGGAATGTTCTTAGCTTTACCCACCATCCTGACCCTGGGTCAGCCTGTCAGCAAGAATTCATGGCTAAAAAGGATTCTTTACACATTTTAATAAGGGAGGAGACTGGCCAGAAGAATGTAACCCTTCAGAGCTGCTCCCTTTGGTTAACCCTGAGCAGGAATTTCACAGGATTTCCTGCATGACCCAAAGTCCGGCAGATGGATATACAGGTGCCATGCCCACAATCTCTGCAGGTGAGGTCACCAGCAAGAATTTCCATGCCAGTGGCATCTCCACCCAAATGGGGTTCAGACCCAAAAAATCTTAAGGAGAAGAGAATGAAAAACCTGGGCTTAGCGACCTACACAGATGACAGCTACTTTACTGAGGAATTAAGAGTACTTTGTCCTATCAAAAGAGAGGGCAAACCCACAACTAAAGTACTTGCTTTTTTGAGGGGAAAGAGAAGGTAGTTTTGACAAAGGTAAAGTATTAATATACAGAATTATAATCTTTCACTAATACTAACATGACATATAGTAAAATATTCCTTTAACAAGCCATCAGTAAGGAACTAACAAAATTATAGTGCTAGAAAAAGAGATTCCGGGAAGCCTTCTTGTATTCTGATTGAGAAAACTGAAGTGTCACACATTTGGGGAGCCTGAAAGTTTCTTCTAAGGTATGACAAAGCGGCTCCTCATGGCTGGCTGCCAGGCCGCTGCTCCTGGGCCTGTGCTTCTGTCTCTGTCCTTCCACGGCCTGTAACAGAACAGGCTCTAGAGGTTCTTCCTCCAAGGCCCAGAGGAGTCATTTTGTCCACCTGAGGCATCCTTCCACAGTCAACTCCAAATTAAGTAGCACCTTATAGCAGGTGTCTGGAGGTAGAAGGTCATGAACAGGCAAGAAGATTTCAGAGACTGATCAAGGTGGAGAGATGAAACCCAAGAGGGGAGAGAATGATCTGAAAAGGGGACCCCAAGAAGACTGAGAGAGAGCAAAGAAGAGACAATCAGGGGAGAATGAGAATGTAGGTGAATAACATCAAGTGGAAATAAGGAAGAAAGGCAGAGAGGAAGGGAGGGAGGAAGAAAGGAAAAGGAAGAAAAGAAGGGGAAAAAGAATGTGTACAAAGTTTTTAATAGGAAAGACCTCTGAAAATTCTCAAATTCAGACACAGGGACCTTATCTGTAAACCTAAGTAAAAATCACTTGATGTTCCAGGCTTTGTAGCATGAAAAACATATGTTTATACCTATAGTCTTAAAATAGACAAGCTTTTTGAAGTTTACCAATTTTTGCTATGAGAATCCAAAGTACTGTCAAATTTATCCCATTTCTTCAAGTGTTTCTATTGTCTCCATTCGTGGGAAAGAAAATATAATATACCAGTTTCTAAAACCTATGAGTCTTACTTGATACATAAAGTGAAAGAAATTAAAATTGTACAGGCTCCTTTTTCGTATTTATTTATTTATTGAGATAGAGTCTCACTCTGTCGCTCAGACTGGAGTGCAGTGGTGCTATCTCAGCTCACTGCAGCCTCCACCTTCTGGGTTCAAGCGATTCTCCTGCCTCAGCCTCCTGAGGATGAGGAGCTGAGATTATAGGCGTGCACCACAGTGCCTGGCTAATATTTGTATTTTTAGTGGAGAGGGGGTTTCACCATGTTGGTCAGGCTGGTCTGGAACTCCTGACCTCAGGCGATCCGCTCACCTTAGCCTCCCAAAGTGCTGGGATTACAGACGTGAGCCACCATGTCCGGCCTCATTTTTAAAATATACATTTCATACCAGCTTCAGCTGGGTACAAATGGGAACATGTAGACAGCCAAAGCAACACTCCTTTAAACACACAGACAGCCAAAGCAACCTCATTTGAACTTTCTTATTCCTCACTGGTTTAAATTTCTTATTTAAATATGTCATCAACAAGTAAAATTGCAAAAGTAGTTTTTAACAAAGCAGTAAGAACTGGATTTAATGTGAGGTTCTTGATTTTGTATAATCCAGCCAATTCACAAACTGTTCAAATCTGTAGATTCTGAATTTTAAACAGAATATATGAACATATGTCTATATCTTCAGCATTTTAAGTGGATAAAAATTCAAATAAAACAAGAAAATGAACAATACTACAGTTTTGACATGTTAAAAATATAAGCATACATCTGTGCCTTATTAAGATAGTGAATGCATAGAACTTGCTAATGTTATAATAGTTTTAAATTCATAATTACAAATTTACTGTATAATTGGTGCTGAAATTCTTGACCTGTGATCTTTATAACTGATATATTTTGCATGTCGAAATGAGATAGAAATTAGTAATTGGCTAAACCTAATAAAGAACACTACAAGATATTTCTTCTATGGATATGATGCTGTCTAGTTAGACCCAAAACATAGTTTATGAAATTTGTAAAAGGGTAAACTCCCAAAGTATAGATCCAAAAGGTAATTAGACACTCCACCTAAAATCATGCCGGTTTCCTTTTTGATACCTTGTGCTATGGTCTGAAGGTTTGTGTCCTCCCAAATTCATATATTGAAATCCTAACCCCCAAGGTGATGGTATTAGGAGGTGGAGCCTTTCAAGAAGTGATTAAGCTTTGCTCCATGAATGGGATTAACGCCCTTTAAAATAGGCCCCAGAGAAACCCCTAACCCTTCTACCACGTGAAGATGTAGCAAGAAGGCACTATGTGCCAGAAAGCAGCCCCTTGCCAAACACCAAATCTGCCTTGATTTTGGACTTTCCCGCCTCCAATACTGTGAGAAATAAATTTCTGTTGTTTATAAGCTATCCAATTTATGGTATTTTGTTATGGCAGCCCAAACTAAAGTACTTTGCAGGTCTGAGCTTCTCAGATAAATACTCTAAAAAGGAACAGACAAGCTTTAGACCGTGAGTCCATTATTACACTCATCACAGTTACACTAAGCATCTCCACCTTGCAGAGAACTGTGTAAAAGAACTATAAACTTTGTGTAATATTTCTTGGTCTTTGACTCTACTAACTGGAATAGGTTATGAGCCAAGTTCTCTAAGCCCCAAATAGATCCCTCAAATTGCCATTTACACAGAACTTATCTATGGATACAGCCAGTCCTACATCTGTGGAGAGAACCAAGATTAGCACCAGTCTCTTGGCTGATCAGATAATCATTTTCTGTGAAGTAAACAGGGATATTTATGTTCTGATGCCCTCTTTGTTCTCAGACCCTCCATGACTCGATAGTGTTTCTAGATGAATGTGCATTCCTTCTATTTTTGCCCACCACTAGGGAAAACAGATGGGAAGAACCCAAAAGCCTCACAAACCAAAAAGACTCAAAAATGTAGCCAGTTAAAAATTACATTAGATTTACAATCCAAGATCACTCTGTCTCCATCAAGCACTAATTTATACTGAACACCCATCTGAGCTAAAACTCAATGGAGTTTACCCATTTGCTGAAAGTAAGCTTGCTTTTCATGTCTATTGGTGATTCTCTACTTACAGGCTTCTTTTCTCAAGAGCTCAAATGGGAAGGGATTTCAAAGTAAAATTATACCACAGGACACAATCACTCTCAGGTCCTTTCTACAGACTTAATGTAACCTGAGTCATCCCTGAATTACAAGTGAGCTAGAGTTCTTTCACTGTAAATAACATGGGAACAGCAGCAGTTTGAGAGTATGCTTGAAATCCTTAAAATGAAAAATCTGCCAGAGTCCAGAAAGAGTGTCCTCTGTAACCAGACCCAATAGGCTCTCTTTAACCCCACTACATCCACAAGGAAAGGTTCTAAGACATCACTTTTCCTAGCTAGGAGCTGCCACAGAACACAAATTTCAAAGGGCCAGAGATCTGCATAACCAAACACTAGACATGAGGTCAAGATGGGTCATCCTTCTGGGGAGTGGTGGGTAAACAGAGAGAGAGAACGCTTTTTTTAAGGAAAGAAAAAGTAGAAGGATAATAGCACATATCATAAAATCATATGCTTAATTTAAAAATGCATCAGGTAATATGCCAGTGACATCCAAATTAATTTGTTCAAAAAGCTGATCTCTCTGATGTCCTATTGTTAAGCTTAATTCTATAATCCTCAAAAAAGTGTTTGAATCTCAAGAAATAGCAAGTACTCAGCCTCAAGCAGGCAACATCGAGTTTGCTAAAATAATGGAAAACTCAGATAAAGCAGACCAGGACACTTGCTCCTCTATGCCCTGCATCACCATCTACAGACAGAGCCAGGATTCCTGAATGAATCCAAATCATTTCAATACAGACATGAGGCTGAGAATACAAACTACAGATAAGTAATTAAATGCACAAGAATGAACTGCTGTGCTTTGTACATTTAGGAAATAAACGTGCATTACTTCATTTGCAGCCAGCACTCACCAGCTTGCTACCCATGTCTTGTCAATTCCTGATTCAGAGTTCTGGTTGGTTCTCAATTTATTTCTCAAACTACCATTATATCAAATGTTTACCATGAACCAGGTACTGTTCCTTCCATGCATCTAAACCCTGTAACAATTCTGTGAGGAAGGCATTACTATCCCTAGTTTACAAATAAAGAACGGAGACACAGAAAAGTTAAGTCATTCACCCTAATAATTGGAAAGCTGAGATTCAAACTTGGGCCGGCCTGTCCACCCCCAAAGCCTGAGCTCTTAATCACTGTAGCACACTGCCTTCTAAAACTTCAGAGTTTTTAAGAGCTGTGCAAGCTACTCTTCCCCTAAATTAAGTTGCTCCCCCTGAATGCCCCAGAAACAACATCTCTCATTGGCTTCCTGGCTTCTGCTGCAGTGAAAGCTAAGCTGTCAGCAGGGCTCCCTGGTCATTTAACTTGTTGATCAATCCTGACATTTCTACCACCAAACAAATTCCTCTTTTCCTTGTGGCTCTCTCTAACCTGCATTTCCCGCTGTGGGCTACTGAGCCTGGACTAAAATTTATGTATTCTCTATCCCCCAAATGAGCAAGAGATGCAGTTCTCATGTATCTATCAGCTAAATTAAGAAGAGAAAATGAGGTTAACAAATACATGAAAAGCTAATGACACAGAAGTAACAAGGATGAAAGGGAATAAATTCAGGGTAAAGGGCAATTCTATAATTTAACCGAAGACTAACAATTTTTAAACGTGCACTATTTAATAAAATACTGGGGGACAGACCAGACTTATAGCAGTGGTTAACAGCTGAGGGGTTGGGAATGGTGGTAAAGTTAAGCAGCTTTCAGTCTTAACTGTTACATTTAATATTTTAATAAGGAGAATGTATTTCTTTTACTTCAGTAGTTCAAAAATAATTATTTTAAAAAACTTAATCAGCCTTAAATTTTGAATTTTAAATTGAAAAATTAGAAACACACACATGATTAACAACAAGAAATTGGTTAAAAGAGCTAAACATCCACTTATTTGAGGAGCTAGTATGTGGGCTTTAAAAAGGTTGTAGAAGAATATTTAATGACATAGAAGGTCATTCATAACACTGTTAAAAAAAGGTGACAAAACAGCAGGCTTAATAACATGAAAAGATATTTACGACACTGTTAAGGGAAAAAAGTGACAAAACTATTACTACATTATTGATTTTTGCGTAAAAGACAATCCTTCTATATATTTTTAAATCTGAAAAGTTATAGACAAAAATGTTAATAGTGATTGAATAGAAAGAGATAGTTCAATTTTTTTATCTATTGGTACTTTCTGATTTTTCTGTAATAAACATGTCTTGGCTTTGCAATTAAAGCAACACTTCGAATAACAAAAACTAAAATACTACTTCAACATCCTCTCCCAAAAAAGAAACAAAACGAGTAGGGCAGACAAGTAGAACTGTTTAAAGGTGCCAATAATACCTCTATTTCTTTGTTGCTGCCCCAAAGAGAAACTAGAGAAATGAGAGATGACCACCTGTAGATAAAAGAAATGAGAAGCTAAGGTAAAGGGAGGCAATAAGAAAGAAAGATTTTAATCAAGTCCAAACTGAGCAATAGCTTATGAGGCAGTGCTGAAAATGAGTGATGACAGGCCAATCTGCAAGCATGAGAGATAAAGGAGGATAAAGGAGTCTGCGTAACTGAGAATGATGCCATTTACACATAGTGAAGGTATGAGTCAAGGGGTTAAGGAAGGTACAACAGGTCTGATGTTCCTCTCTTGCGGAAGAAAAGAACACCTATTTCTAAAGGTGATGCCAATATATTAGTTGCTATTTTATTTTTGCTTGCTATTTTTGTAAAATGACCAGTGGATAGGAATGAGAAACTCCAAAACAATAAGCTACTTAGAACAACAGCGACTCTGAATTTCTGAGATTTTGCAATAAAAATCTAACCTGAGCAAAATCTGTTTCTGAAAAATGGGTAATAGAGTAAACTGATGCTTTCCATTAGATGTACAAAGCAGGCAGTGGTTTCTTTGGACAGGAATTACCTTATTGTACGGAGATCTGAGAAACAGACACAGAAGTCCTATCTTTCTTCTTCCCTTTGCCTACCTATCAAGCTTTATTGGCTGGGCGCAGTGACTCACGCCTGTAATCCCAGCACTTTGGGAGGCCAAGGCAAGTGGATCACTTGAGGCCAGGAGTTCGAGACCAGCCTGGCCAACATGGTGAAATCCTGTCTTCCTATCTCTACCTTAAAAGAAAAAAAAAAAAAGAAAAAGTTTTATTCAAGCAATTTACACCTTCATTACTTTTATTTTCTCCTCTTCTGCCCAAATAGCCCATCTAGTTTAAGTTACATCCTATAGACAAAACTTTCCTCATCTTCACTTCACTGCTTTCTGTGATTTCAACTGTGTCATTCACTTTGGCATTCTGTCCTACATCCTTTCAAAATATCATTCAGACATTTCATTTCTATTGTCTTCTGCTCTAGGTTCTAAGCTCCTGGAGGGTAGGCTGGGTTTTAGCCTTGTTTTGTTTGCCTCATTCACTACAGTGCAGTGGAAAACAAATGAATTTTGGAGTCAGATATTACCACTGTTCAAATTATAAGTTATAAACTGGCATTGAATGCAAAATAAAGTCTTATCATGAAGTGATCGTTATCTATTTAAATGTAACAGAACAGAAAAAAATTAAAAATACTATAGTACACTGCAAGCAGAAGTATAAAGTAACTCCTGCCTTGTAAAATTTCTTTGAGATATATACACACATACATATGTGCAAACATACACATTCAGACACACATACTGGTTTATAAGGTAAAACATATTTCTTATCATGTTAAGCTGCTGATAAAGACCATGGTTACAATGTCCACTCCATGATGTATAAATTTACACTAGACAAAAGTCAGTCAGTCATGTCGTTTAACACTTCCATGGACCTCTACAAGAAAAACCATTCTACTCACAGCCTCTGCAAAAGCAGCAGCCCCAAGGGACCACATTTTGTGCCATAGTACATCATGGAGGCCAAAGCTGACTGGAGCAGAGTTAGTTAAGCACCTAGCTAAATGACAATACATGTTCTAGTGACCTATTAAGCGGGGGCAAAGTAGCTGAGCCAATATAATTCTCTTTCTCAAGGAACTAAACTGGGCAACTAAACTGTGTAACTCACTTTGGCATTCTGGCCTACATCCTTTCAAAAATAGGATGGAAGGCCAGGCACGGTGGCTCTCACCTATAATCCCGGCATTTTGGGAGGCCGAGGCGGGCGGAAAACGAGGTCAGGAGATAGAGACCATCCTGGCTAACACGGTGAAACCCCGTCTCTACTAAAAATACAAAAAAAAAATCAGCCGGGCAAGGTGGCAGCCGCCTGTAGTCCCAGCTACTCAGGAGGCTGAGGCAGGAGAACTGCGTGAACCCAGGAGGCGGAGCTGGCAGTGAGCTGAGATTGTGCCACTGCACTCCAGCCTGGGCGACAGAGCAAGACTCCATCTCAAAAAAAAAATAGGATGGAAGCTGAAAGAGTGACTTGAGGGAAGGACAGGGCTGTTAACACAGTCTCAAGTGCTCAAGTGTAAGTTATGAGAACTCAGAGGCTGGGCATGGTGGCTCATGCCTGTAATCCCAGCATTTTGGGAAGCCGAGGCGAGCAGATAACCTGAGCTTAGCAGTTCGAGACCAGCCTGACCAACATAACAAAACCCTGTCTCTATTAAAAATACAAAAATTAGCCGGGCGTGGTGGCGTGTGCCTGTAATCCCACCTCCTCAGGAGGCTGAGGCAGAAGAATCGCTTATGGGAGGCGGAGGTTGCAGTGAACTGAGATCGTGCCACTGCACTCCAGCCTGGGCAACAGAGTTAGACTATCTCAAAAAAAAAAAAAAAAGCACTCAGAAACCCTGAGTATTCAGGAGCTTTCAGGAAAAAGACAAGCATAGTAAAAAGGGAAAATAAGCCAATTTATGAGAAGAAAAAAAAGCCCAAGTCAGAGTTGCAGTCACATTATTGGCTGAGCACCTGGGAGAAACATAGTTCCTGCTCTTCCAGAGCCCTAGGTACATGTATCCATCTTTTGAGGTCACTGCAGAGGCTGTTCCAAGTAATCTCAAGACCTTAACTAGCAGCCGCATTTAACATCCTGGCCTCTCAGCTGACTTGTTACAAAGTAAAGAATTTGTACTTACCCTCGTGGCATTGTCCCGGGACTACATAAACTGTATCTGAAATTACCTAACACAATCCTGGTACACAATAAGTCTCCTGCAAATATGTGGTCAGTAATTTAACTGCATGTAAACAAATCAATACTGTGATGATCCCAGAGCTAACAGCTATCCTGCAACTCAGTCTGCTCATTCAGAACTTTGGACCCATGTGGATATAAGGGCTCCCTGTTGCCCAGGTGGGCACACAACAATCAGACTCCTTTGCACTCCACTACCAGAAGCAGGGTTTCTAACCAGGCTAAGTGGAAATTGCTCCATTTTTGTATTATTATAGTTGGATAGGCTTATTTCCTACAAAGAGGGAAATAATCTGCAATTTTATTTTACTGTCAATAATACTTCCTGCTACAGAAGTTGTCCACTGACTGTATAGTTCTTATCTCCTCAAAATAATAGAAATATAGATAATAAACATCCTAATATTAAGATATTAGAGTACAGGCTAATAATCTAGAGAATTAACAGGCTATATGTGCTCCAGATAAATCCACAAAATTTGAGTAACAAATTTTTAAGGATTCCTTATTTAAAGATTCAATAGTAATTTTAAAGGTGACAACACTCTCCAATCATCATGGAGACCAACCACTGTGTGGATGTGGCCCTGAGAAATAGCCCTATCTTTGGACTGAGGAAGGAGACCCCACAAGAGGATACATTAAGCTCAACAGGGCAAATACAAGAATCCCATAGATGAATCTGCAATCCAAAGTCAGTATGAAAAAGCCTTTCTATGCAGTTATTCAGAACTCTTCAACATCCCTGAGCCTTCTCTTCCTACAGACTGCTATTATTCTTGAATGTATCCCTTCCAACTCCCCAAAAGAAATAGCTAGTTGAGAATAAGTCCAAAATTTAATTCGATTTCATAGTAAGCAATAACTTGGAAGTCATCCGAGTATATGATATATTTAAAAGTACAAGATTGATAAAACCACCACATGAGTGCAGGTAAGAGAAGAGGCCCAAGGATGAGCCCAGGGGCCCTCCAAAATTTAGAGAACAGAGGAATGAGGAAAAACCCACAAAGGAGATCAAGATGTTCCAGCTGCACTGGCCTTATCCCAACTCCTCTTACCCACCATCACCCCAAATGTCTGTGCACATGACATTTTCTCTACCTGAGACTCTTCTACCCTGCCACTCCCCAACTGTGCCCCACCAGCTATCGTCCTGGACCCTCCAGATGACAGCTCACATTACCTCCTCTGACACCTGCTCTCCACTGACCGCACCTTGCCCAGACAGGTGCTCTTTTCTAGAAGATCTTGCAGCAGCACCAGTAAGTCATTCACAGCTTTACCACAATAGTAATTATGCATTTATCTATGGGATGATTTGATATCTGACATCTGTCTCGCCATTCAGGTTGTTTACAAGGACATGAATGCAAGGTGGAGTCTGTTCTTGCTCTATCTCCAGGGCCTGCCATAGACAGAACTTCATGTGGGGCAGGCCCTTGATGAAGACAATGAATTCATCAATCTCTCTCATCGATTTTCTACTCAATGAAGTAAGAAGACCCTCTCTGTCTGGACCCTGTTGTAGGTTTGTAGTTGAAACATCTGCCTTTGTAGTTATGCCCATAACAATTAACTAACCGTGTTTTCATCTCCTCCTGCTTTCTTGGAGCACCTGTCATTTCTGATCTCTGCCTACCCTCGGGCAACTGGTGCACACACCCCCATATCCCAACACTTCACTGTTCTCTCAGAAGAATCAATTACATAAATATTGGCAGATCTACCACTCAGTTGCCCTTTAATTAGTGAGCTCCAACCAGAGTAGTTTTTTCCTCAATCTCTGTCTATATTTTTAGGAGTTACATAAAGTTCCAACGCTGCAACAATGCAGATACAGAAAAACTTTTTAAAGTGATATTAACAACATGGAAACTGTACTCAATACATAACAAGCTACACTAAGGTGCTCCTAGTATTTGGAAATAAAGTCAAGAAAAAAATACTCTCCAACTAAAACTGAAAAAACAAAAATTATTAAAAAAATTTACATGTATACATGTGTGCATTTTTCTACAGAGAAAGCCTATGGCTCATAATTTTTATTAGATTCTTAAAGCATGTATGACACTCCCCCAGTAAAGATGGCTAAATGCATATCCATCCTATGTATTAATGCAGTTATAACACTGTAGATCATGTGTAGATATGAAATGACTTATAAGACACATAGTGCAGAAAAGAAACAAGCTGTATATTATAAATAGTCTGTATATTTACATAAATATGGGTAATCTATATTGTTTCCTTAAATGTATATATGTGGATTTTCAGAAGAGTATTGCCAAATTGAGAGCAGCATTATCTATGGAGAAGGGGATAGAGACTGGGATTGCACAAATGACCAAAAGAGCCTTTAGTCTAATCTGAAATGTCCCAATTCTTCTTCTTCTCTTCTTCTTTTTTTTTTTTTTTAAGAGATAGGGGTCTCACTATGTTGCCCAGGCTGGTCTCAAACTCCTGGGCTCAAGAGATCCTCCTGCCTCAGCCTTCCAAAGTTCTGAGATTACAGGCAGGACCCACTGTACCTGGTCCAAAATGTCTGAATTATTCTCTACATGAAGGACATATTATATATTGCTTACATAAGTCAAGTTAATTTTCAGAAATGTACCATAATCTAATTATACATAAAAAGCAAGACCACATACAGAGCCCAGTCCCTGGCCCAAGCTAAGTAGTCCCCCACCTTTATCTCTCTTAGCTAGAGTAGTAATTCTAATTGGGGTATGTCTTAGTCCGTTTTGGGGTGCTTACAACAGAATACCTGAAATTGGGTAATTTATAAAGCAAAGAAATTTATCTCCTACAGTTATAGAGGCTAAGAAGTTCCAGGCTGAGGGGCTACATTTGGTGAGAGCCTTCTTGCCGGTGGGGACACTCTGAAGAGCCCCGAAGTGGTGCAGGGTATCATATGGCAAGGAGGCTAAGCATGCTAACGAGCTAGCTCAGGTCTCTCTTCCTCTTCCTATAAAGCCACCTGCTCCCCTCCCATGATAATTCATTAATCCATTAGCCCAGTAATCTGCGGCTGTTAATCTATTCACGCAGGCAGAGCCCTCATGATCTAATTACTTCTTAAAGGCTCCACCTCTCAATACTGCTACATCAGGAATTAAATTTCCATATGAGTTTTGGAGGGGAAAAATATCCAAACCATGGATCTCAGGTCTAGGCACATGGGCCTCTATTTTTGTTTATAAAGACACAAGGATTCCAGAAGACCCACAAGCCAACTTGAAAATGTGGACTAGTATGTGCTTGCAGTTCTGTTTAAACCATGATGTGAGCTAAATGTGAGCCAGTTATAAAAAGTGAAAATAATTTTCCATATCTTATACACACACAAAAAAAGATATGGTAAAAGGTTTTAGTCACCATCTAAAGTAAAAAAATAATCTTATGAGACTGCTGCGTTGCCAAACTGTAAATGAAAAATTATAAAACTACAGAAATTACTATTTTAAGCAACAAGTCACAAACAACTGAAAATTCAGACAAATGTGAAAATTTAGGGAAAAGAATAAGTTTAAATGCATTAAGCATTTCTGCAAACAGAATGACATTCAGGTATATTACATTTGTTGAGCTCTGATTTTTACTAGAAAATAGTATGTCTTTCACAATAAGCACAGAGTAAATTCTAAAATAATAAGTCCCATCACCTCAAACTACTAAGATGCCAAAGTGTCTGCTGCATTTTCAATGGAATGAAATGATATTTATAATAAAATTCCTGCTTTTCAAATCTTCCTTTCTCATCCTGCAATTCCAGAAAGTCTCCCACAGGTACACTATGTGTGCTTTAAGAGCTGAGCCCAGAACCAGAGACTGAGGTCTGAATTCTAGATCTCCCATTGCACTGTTAGTCACACTTAGCACAGAGCTGAAAAATACTTTAATTAAAATACTTTAGTTAAAATATTTTAATTAAAATTAAAATACTTTACTTAAAATACTTTAATTAAAATTAAAATACTTTAGTTAAAATATTTTAATTAAAATTAAAATACTTTAAGAAATCAAACCATTTCTGACTACAGAGTTCAAAATATTTGAGCAAACTGAAGAAACATTCCAATGACTTAAGATTACTGATAAAGCCACATGTCAGCAAGTACAAAAGAAGAGTGCAGTAGAGGATGACTCTATTAGGTGCTGAACAGAGAACACCCTTTTCAAAGGTATCTGGCATTTCAAGGTGATGGAAATTACACAAACGCACCCCATGGCAAATAAATCAGGTCAGGGCACAGCTGGCAAATATGGTTTTGGTTCCATCACCGAACTTAACATAACAAACACTGGTGTTGCAACAGTCATTTCTTCATACATGCATAGTACATGATCTTGGAGAGGTGGAGGGGGTACTTACAGTGAAAAGCAAAAACTCTAGTCAAAATCTATCTAAAAGAAAAGACAATAAATACTTCCGGGGTCCTACTAATGAATGAACCCTTTGGAAAACCTGAAGTTCAGCTGACTACACACCTGGCATTAACTGTAACAAGTACACAGTGTTCCATCCCTGACTAATACAATCAATATTTTCCTTCAAACCCACATGCTTTTCCCAGAGATCCAAGAACTGCTGGCTTAATGTTTGTGCTGCTGTTTTGGGTGAGGCACCGGTGATTTACCTGCGTGCAGCAGGGTTTTTGTCTCTGAGTAGAGTTCCAGATAATCTCCAGGGGTCAAAACTTACTTTTCAAAGTCATTGAGGTTTCAAAACCTCAAATCCCTTCCACATTTGACCAACCCAAACTGGGAACTACGACCATTAACATTATTTCAGGACAAGGGGGATATTACCACTGACCCCACAGAAATACAAACAACCATCAGAAAACATTATGAATACCTCTAGGCACATAAAGTAGAAAATCGAGAAGAAATGGATAAATTCGTGAACACATATACCCTCCCAAGACTGAACTAGGGAGAAATCAAATCCCTGAAGAGACCAATCACGATTTCTGAAATTGAGGCAGTAATAAATAGCCTACCAGCCAAGAAAAGCCCAGGACCAAGCAGATTCATAGCTAAATTCTACCAGATGTAAAAAGAACTGGTACCATTCCTACTGAAACTATTCCAAAAAAAATTGGAGAAGAGGAACTCCTCTCTCATTCTATGAGGCCAGCATCATCCTGATACTAAAACCTGGCAGAGATACAACAACAAAAGAAAAAAACTTCAAGCCAATATCCTTAATGAACATCCATGCAAAAATCCTCAACAAAATATGGCAAATCAAATCCAGCAGCACATCAAAAAGCTTATCCACCATGATCAACTAGGCTTTATCCATGGGATGCAAGGTTGGTTCAACATGCACAAATCAATAAATATTATTCATCATATAAACAGAACTAAAGACAAAAACCATGATTATCTCAATAGATGCAGAAAAGGCTTTTGATAAAATTCAACATTGATTCATGTTAAAAAAAAAAACCTCAATAAACTAGGTATTGAAGGAAAATACCTCAAAATAATAAGAGCCATATATTACAAACCCATCACCAACATCATACTAAATGGGCAAAAGCTGAAAGCACTCCCCTTGAAAACCAGCACAAGATAAGGATGCCGTCTCTCACCACTCCTATTCAATATAGTTGATATGGTTTGTCTGTTTCCCTGCCCAAATCTCATATTGAATTCCCACATGTTGTTGGGGGGACCAGGTGGGAGTTAAGTGATCATGGGGGCCAGTCTTTCCTGTGCTGTTCTCATGATAGTGAGTAAGTCTCACGAGATCTGATGGTTTTAAAAACGGAAGTTTCTCTGCACAAGCTCTCTCTTTGCCTGCTGCCATCCACATAAGGCGTGACTTGCTCCTCCTGGCCTTCCACCATTGTGGAAGCCTCCCCAGAGTCCTCCCCAGACACAGGGGACTGTAAGCCCATTGAACCCTTTTTCCTGTATAAATTACCCAGTCTCAGGGATGTCTTTATCAGCAGCATGAAAACGGACTAATACAATAGTACTGGAAGTCCTGGCCAGTGCAATCTGGCAAGAGAAAGAAAGGAAGAAAGAAAGAAAGGGTATTCAAATAGTAAGAAAGAAAGTCAAACTATCCCTGTCTGCAGATGACATGATCCTATATATGGAAAACCCCATAGTCTCAGCCGGAAAGCTTCTTAAGCTGATAAAAAAAACTTCAGCAAAGTCTCAGGATACGAAATCGATGTGCAAAGATCACTAGCATTTCTATACACCAACAACAGTCAAGCCAAGAGCCAGATCAGGAACAAACTGCCATTCACAATTGCCACAAAAAAATAAGATACCTAGGAATATAGCTAATTAGGGAGGTGAAAGATCTCTACAAGTACAAAACACTGCTCAAAGAAATCAGGGATGACATAAACAAATGGACAAATATTCCATGCTTATGGACAGGAAAAATGAATATCATTAAAATGGCCATACTGCCCAAAGCAATTTATAGATTCAATCCTATTCCTACTAAACTAGCATTGAGATTCTTCACAAACTGGAAAAAAACTATTCTAAAATCCATATGGAACCAAAAAATAGCCAAGAAAATCCTAAGCAAAAGAATAAAGCCGGAGGCATCACACTACCTGACTTCAAACTACACTACAGGGCTACAGTAACCAAACAGCATGATACTGGTACAAAAACAGACACACAAACCAATGGAACAGAAAAAAGAGCCCAGAAATAAGGCTGCACACCTACAACTATCTGATCTTCTACAAACCTGCCAGATCAGATAGTTGTAGGTGTGCAGCCTTATTTCTTTAGTCCTAATATAGAAGTCTGTGGCTCATTATTCTATTGAGGCTCAGTTAAACAAATGACTATCATTTATTATTCTACTGAGGCCCAACTAAATAAATGCCTCTTCTAATTCTCCTTTATTCCTAAATGACAACACTACAGTTAAACCTGTCCCAACACCATAAATGGGGAACCACCTGTCATCTGTATAGCTGAACACTGCCTTACCCAGCATGGTCCAATGAAACCAAAGGAAACATAAACACGCCCAGACAAATTACAGCACAGACTCAAGGCTTAAAGATCTTACGTAACAACCATAAATTACTGCAAATTGCTGCACTTCAAAAGTATTCAGCATACTGAATGCTTCTTATAGTCAACTGATAAGGATAGTTTCACCATCCCAGGAGGCAGGCATTTGCAATAAAAAGATTTTTTAGAAAATAAAACAACACCGGCTAATGCACATGTGCACTCACTCCCTACCCTCCTTAGCAGGAAGTGAAGGTATATGCCGAACTGAGACCTAACCCACTGCCAGAAAACCCCTTGTCTTTAAGAAGAGTTTTGCATTAAAATGTTATACTCAAAATTAGACGGGCTACCTTACTATTTTGATTATTAAAATTAAGCATGGAAGGATGATTTTATATACGTAGATGATGCTAGGTTTAATATATACATTATACTAGGTATTTATATATATAGACCTCCAACTCTATATATACACACACATATATATTTATATATTACATATTAAAGCTGAATATATATATTAAAGTTGAAAGTCTTCTGAGACCTGCCCTAAACGCTGCAGCTTCACTACCAGGAGGGGTCAGATAGAGAAATAGAGGTGCCGATCACTTTTGAGAAACATCCTGACATTGTTAATGATGCACGAAGCCTCCGCTCGTTAGGGTCCTAAATACAACTTGAAAATTTAGTAGCAGATGAGCTTCTAAAAAGGTAATGGCTGCTTTCTGGTGTTAAAATATCTACTTTCCTAAAAGCCAGAACTGGTTATATCTTTTTGGTGGACAGAAAACCCTCATGGGAAGGACAGAAGAGAACGTCAGGGATAGTGGTTATCTCTGGGGAGGTAGGAAGGAGAAAAGAACTGGAAAGGAAGGAGGGGTTCGCTGTAATAGTCTAAAAAAATAGAAAATGAAGCAAATATGTTAAAATATTAACATTTGTTCAATCTGAGTGATAGGTACACAGAAATTGATTAACTTTATTTATTTTTTAATTTTTCTATGGGTTTAAAGCACTTTATAACAAAAAAAATTAAAGTAAAATGTAAGTGAAAAGAAGACACAAAAGGCACAAAGAAATGCAGGCTGGTGCCTAAGTAATGCTAAGTGGCCAAGTCCAATCATGCTGCTTTCATTAAATTTAATTGCCAAGCAACACAATAAACACACACAAGCCTCCCGGGAACACTCAACTCCAAGATAACATACACTAAAATCAGAAATCACTTTATAGTTTTACATTTTATTACAAGATAGTTCTATGATATCAATATCATTTACAAAAGACACAACATTCATTTTTTGCCAAATAAAATGCAAGTCCATAAACAAAGTTGAACTGAAGGATATGCACTATTATTTAATTGTATATACATTTGTTCATGTATATGAAAGCCAAACTCCAGGAGGCATAAATATGGCAGCCTGTTTCTTGGGCTAAACTGAGATCAGGGTGTAACTGACATAAAAATCCACATTTCTTTTTAGCATTCTTTCAGAGACCAACAGCACGATTTAGGCCTGTGCTAACAAACCCAGCTGCTGCCACAGAGAGAAAACAAAAAATTCACAGCCTTCTTTCTTCTCCTGGATCCTCTACCAAATGGTCCATACCAACAACTGAATGAACTGAATGACAGCCATTTAGAGCCAACATGGCCTCAATGGACCTTGTCATCAGTTTTTCCACATATCTGTTTTGGGATACACATATCATGAGATCATTAGATTAGGGTATAAGGCTGCTAATAAACCAATTCTGTGGCTAGCTTTTACCACCTAACCACATGCAAAAATTTTAAAAATATCACAGAAGTTACAAACTGTTAGCATAGAGGGCAAATCTGAATACTTTCTTGGACACACAACATTTCTTTAAAATTTGAGTTGAGAAAATACTCATAAAAGTCTGGATTTGTACATTCTCTTTTCTAATTATCAGAACATCTGGTCACACTGAGCCCCTGCACTCACCTGGTTTGAGCTAAGTAGTAGCTGCTCAATTTATATAAGGCCTGTTCACCACAGCTCCCACCACTCCCTATCACCTACATATACCAGCATCACATATTCATTCTACTTCCCCTGACACTGTGAATATTTTAATTTTTGGCATAATCATAAGGGTGCTATACCTCAGAGGCCCTGGAAATGAACAGATTCTCCTGAGAACAAAATTAGGAGGTGGGAAGAAGACAGGGAGAAAGCGCTTGGTGTATTGAATTTTGAATTCCAATACAGGTTAGAAGAGGGAAGGTAGAGCTTGAAGCAGAAGTTGTCTCCCACCGTTTACATACACATATTCCCACGGCCCTGGCTATACAGCACCAACATTAACAACTCCTTTTCTTACACCAGTGGGTTCCCTAAATACACAAGATTCCTGATTCTAAACATCTCTGTCACCTCTGCTCTGATATTGCCTAAGGACTCATGGAGGTGTACTGGCTTGTTTTTGATGCAAAGCTCCCCTGAACCAAGCCAGCCATGGGAATTCCTTTCTACTTGCTAATTCATCAGATATTCGCAAATGCTGTGCCCAAACTCTTATCAAGTAAACTAAGCATCAAACTGTGACATTGTAAGCCAGGAGGAAAAAAATATACAGTTAAAAAACAAAAGGTGTCTGATGCAGAGAGGAGAAATTACTCATCAACACAAAATTAAGTGTCAGAGACAGGCATACAAAAAAGGCACAGAGATGGAACAGAATATCATTCATTAATCAGCTTTAAGAATATATAAACATTTCTATATCAAATTAAATTTCCAAGGAAGGGCTAGATGCGGTGGCTCATGCCTGTAATCCCAGCACTTTGGGAGGCTGAGGCAGGCGGATCACTAGAGGGCAGGAATTCAAGACCAGCCTGGCCAATACGGTGAAATCTCATCTCTACTAAAAATACAAAAATTAGCTGGGTATGGTGGCACACGCCTACAGTCCTAGCTACTCAGGAGGCTGAGGCAGGAGAATCACATGAACCTGGGAGACTGCAGTGAGCCGAGATCACGCCACTGAACTCCAGCCTGGGCGACAGAGCAAGACCTCATCTCAAAAAAAAAAAAAAAAATTTCCAAGGAAGAATTGTAACTAGCTTTCTATTGTGCAGAGATACATATACAGGTACATACATACATGTACATATACACGCATACATACATAAACACACACGCATATATATGTAAATAGCCATAATTATGATAAAGTGCAGGCTATATTTAACAAAAAGAGAGATCTCGCAGAAAGAGTTTCCAGAGGTCACAGTACATCAATCTCATAGCACTTTATTTTATCAAACCTAATTTTCCTGATCAGAAGTGTCAAAGTTCATGTTCTCATTAGTGCGGGCAGAGTTCCGAGAAACATTTCACAATCTAAAAAGAGTCTTTCTCCTTAGTTACAGGATCACTGGCAGAAAAGAACAAAAGCCAAATCCACACATAATTTCCAAAACTTGTTTTTTTCCTACCACAGATAGAAAAGAAGATAAACACTCACCGCAGAGAGTTGGCTCCATGTGGATCTCAATGGCTTATGGTGAATCACAATTTTTTCATCTGACTTCTGTTCTTTGGGCTCTGACTCTTCATCAGAATCAATGTCAAGGGCCTTTTCCTTGTAGTTTTGATACAGGACAGCATTTTCTGCAAGAAAACAAGGCCTATGTGTCACTAATTGTTCTCAATCATTATGTTACTTGTTCTAAATAAACATCATATGTACCCAATGTTTGGCCTCCAATTTTATAAACAGAGAGACAAACAGATTTAGTCCCTGAAGAATAATTACAGAAAAGTGATTTTCTCATTCACATAGCTCTATCTCAAACTCAACTGCAGGGGAAGGGGACCAGCCCATACAGAGAATGCCAACAGAAGCAGTTTCCATGTCTCTGTCCACTACTCATGAAGGACAGTCAGGCCTGTTAAATCACTGTAATTTAGGTTAAATTACATCCTATCTTTTATTTAAGGTCCATCACCATTCATTTATCTATTTAATAAACATTTATTGTGTATCTATGACGTGCCAAGGGCTGAGAGTAAAATGGAAAACAAAAGAAAGACACCTCTGATGCCTCATGAGCTCTCATGCCCTCATCCACCTCTCATGAGCTAACAGTTTAATTAAAAAAACTGTCAAATTCACTCATGCATTTATTCATTCAACTGTTACTTAGAAAACACCTACTAGGAACCGGCAACAGCTTAGCACGTGAAATACAATAATAGACACTAAAAATCTCAATATTCAGGAGCTGATACTAAAGCATGAGAGAACTGCAATAAATAAGCAAATAACTTTGATAGTATTTTGATGCTGATAAGTGTCATGAAGAAACATGAAACAGGGAAGGGGGGTAGAAAGCGCTGGGAGGAGGGCATGTAGATGTTAAGTAGGGTAGTTTAGGAAGGCCTCACTGGAGTGACAATTAAGTAAAGACATAGAACAGGTGAGAAAGTGAGCCACCTGTATCAAAACTACAAAGAAAAGGCCCTTGATGTTGACTCTGATGAAGAACTAGTGCCCAAACAGCATCTCATCAGGGACACAGCAAGTGCAAAGCCCTGGGGCATGAGTCTACTTGGTATGTCTGTATGTACCAAGAGCAGCAAGGAGGACTGCATGGCTGGAGTACAAGGAAATGGGGGGAAAGTACAGAAGATGGGAGTTGAGGCCGGCGGGCATGGTGGCTCACACTTGTAATCTCAGCACTTTGGGAGGCTGACATGGGCAGATCACTTGAGGTCAGGAGTTCGAGACCAGCCTGGGCAACATAGTGAGATCCTGCCTCTATCAAAAATACAACAAATTAGCCGAGTGTGGTGGTGCACCCCTGTGGTCCCAGCTACTCGGGAGGCTGAGGCAGAAGAACTGCTTGAACCTGGGAAGCAGAAGTTGCAGTGAGCCGAGATCATGCCACTACACTCCAGACTGGACCCCATCTCAAAATAAAAAAAAGAAGAAGAAGATGGGAGTTGTGGGTGACCAGAGGGCTGATCATGTAGGGCCTTGCCTCAGCCATTAAAGGACTTTGATTTTTACTCAAAATGTGATGGCAAGTCACTATAAGTTTGAGAACATAATGATCTTACACAAATACATACCTACAAACTGAAGGATTTATATAGAGGTGAGAACAGACTGTCAGTAGGGTGTGATCTAGTCTGGCAGTCAGATATTTGGTCAATGAGGAAAGTCTAAGGTCTGAAAGCTGAGAAGCTACAGAGCTACAGGAAAAGCATACACAAAAGCTATAATGCGAACATAAGAGGAAACATAATACAGTCACGCATTGCATAATATTGTTTTGATCAATGACAAACCACATCTACAACGGTGGTCCCATATGTTATAAAGGAGCTAAAAAATTCCTATCACCTAGCCATCTTAAATGTTGTAGTGTACCACATTACTCACATGTCTATGGTAATGCTGGTGTAAACAAACCGATTGTACTGCCAAAAATACAAAAGTATAGCACATACAATTATATACAGTTCATGATACTTGATAATGATAATAAACTATGTTACTGGTTTATGTATTTACTATACCATGCTTTTTATCATTATTTTAGAGTGCACTCCTACTTACCAAAAAAAAAAAAAAAAAATAGTTAACTGTGAAACAGCCTCAGGCAGGTCCTTCAGGAGGTATTCCAGAAGACACTGTTATCATTGATGACAGCCCCATGTATGTTACTGTCCCTGAAGACCTTCTTGTGGGACAAGATGTTGAGATGGAGAACAGTGACATTGATGATTCTGACCCTGTGCAGGCCTAGGCTAATGCATGTGTTTAGTTTCAACAAAAGAATTTAAAAAGTAAAAATGAAAATTTTTTACAATAGGAAAAAGCTTATGGAATAGGTATGTGAAGAAATAAAACATTTCTGTACAGTTGTACAATGTGTTTGTGTTTTAAGCTGTATTAAAACCAGAGTTGAAAAGATTCAAAAATTTTTAAATTTTACAAAATAAGTTACAGTAAGCTGAAGTTAATGATTGAAAAGTTTCTTTAAAATTTAATATAGCTTAAATGTACAGTATTTGTAAAGTCTACAATAGTGTACAGTAATGTTCTAGGCCTTCCCATTCACTCACTACTCATTTACTGACTCACCCAGGGCAACTTTCAGTACTGCAAGCTCCATTCACGGTAAGAGTCCTATAGAAGAGTACCATTTTTAATATTTTATATTGTATTTTTACTGTACTTTTCCTGTGCTTAGATACACAAATATCATTGTGTTACAACTGCCTACAGTATTCAGTACAGTAACATGCTGTACAGGTTTGGCTCTACCATATATCCTAGGCTATACCATCTGGTTTGTTTAAGTACGCTCTGTGATATTTGCACAACAACAAAACTGCCCAAGGGTGTATTTCTCAGAATGTATCCTCATCATTAAGTGATGCATGGCTGTATCTTAAAAGAACTAGGGAAAGTCAACGTGGCAAAAGCTTGGGTATGTCTAGTGGCCACAGTGTACAAGGTGAGTTTAGAGACATGAGCCAGACAGTCCAAATCAAGGAAATATTTGTAGGCAATGGTAAAAACTGGATTTCACCCTGAGTACAAAAGGATTGAGTTTCTTTCACACTGTCATGATAGCATTTCTTTCCTGAACACAATGGGACTCCATGAAAAGGAAAGACTTGCTTAGATTAGACAGCAAAACATTGACTACCTAGGAGACTAAGAAGCTATTGGGGTAGTCAACGAAAGATGATGGAGATTTGAGCTACATAACATAGAACAGACTGGTGAAAGACCGGATATGGGGGCAGAGAGAGGGAGGTGTTAAGGGTGTTTCCTAGGTCTGCAGGCCTCACAACCAGAAAGTAGGAGATGGGAACACCAGAAGAGATTCAGGTTTAGTGGGGAAGATTATGAGTTTGGTTTGGGGCATTTTGAGTTTGAACTGACTTTCCCATCTACCAAAACAAGCATGCATCTGCCCCTTTTCTCATCAACTACAGAATATTCTGTATGCACTATGACTAAAGTAACACTGGAGTCTATTCAAGATTTTACTGGTCTCTGATTGTCATGCTATGTAAAGCAGATTATGAGGGTAAAGGCTGAGTCTCCCCTAGTCTTCAAAGTACTAAGTAGTTGGCACAAAGTATATATGCATAACATTGTTGACAGATTTCTCATTCATTTTCACAACAACTTAGGCAACAGTATTATTAACCTCATTTCACACATGAGGTGGCTCAGTGAGGTCCCTGTGATATTAAGGGTTTTTCTCAGTATCACTTAACTGATGAACAGGAACAGCAAGACAGGAACCCAGGTCTGCCTGGCTCTAATATCACAGATTCTCACCATTTAGACACACTGCTTCTTTAGTTACATTCTTGTTAATCATTAACTGTAAGAATCCTGCATTCCTCATGTACATATGTATGTACATGAAAAAAATTTCTAGGTCATTATATTTGAGAAGAAATGAGAGGATACACAGAAACAGCTCCTTATAAAAGGAAATAACGTAAAACTAGTTATAATGAAGTCTACTCTCTGACTTCAAAAAAAATCTAAAAATTTTAAACTCTCTTAGGCAGAGGTCACAAAATAAATATCAAATTCCAGGGAATGTAAAGCATCTCCTTAGGTAAATATTAGGTAGATGCTGTTCACTTCATAGTCAGAGTGCTATAAGAAGCAGCAAACTGGACTAAGAACTCGATCTGTGTCCTACTACTGGCTGTGTAACTAGGTGTGACAGCAGACAGGTTACCAAACCTCTCAGATCTTCTGGTTTCCTCAATTATAAAATTAGGGAGATGAACTTATTCCAACCAGCTAAATACTATATCTGGATTTCCTAAGATTGGTGCGGTGAATGAATTTTTATAGATAAGTCATTTATAAATGTTCCAATGGGAAACTCATCTTTATAAAAATTATATAGGGAATTACTTGACAATCACCTAAGGCTACATATTTTATAACTCTGGGTGATTGTACATTTGCTTGACCTATGGAGGGGCACTCCCTTCTTTATTATTCTTTGAAGGTTGGAAAATCTTCACACTTCAAAACATGACAAAAATTTAACTACCCTCACTACCACCATGACCCTCTAGCCCAACAAGTGCTACAGCTGGGACTGCTCCCTTCATGCTCTTCCAGTTGGCTGACGCTTGACCCATCTATTTAAAAAAGTCCATTAATCTGATTAGGGTTTGAACACCTGGTTGAAGCTGCTTTTTTTTTTTTTGAGATCCTTAATAAAAATACTACATGGGTTGAAAAGTCTTAAGAATATGTTTTTGTCAGCCAGGAGAGTTAGAGTTTCCCCAAAGCTGAAACTTAATAAGGAAACAGGAAGTCAGAAATGATAATCAAATGTGGAAATATGGGCAGAATACTAAGTCAAAGGAAATGTGACCTAAAGAAATATGACTTCAGATCTAAATGCCAAAATCAGAATTTTTAACTAAAAAGCTAGATCTTGCTCTTACCCTTCCTGAGGAACATGGGGATGGAGCCAAGGTAGAGAAGAATTAAAAATCCCAGGACATCGACTGAAAAAGTTATCAGCCTATAAAAAATGCCATTAACTATATTCACCATTAGTATTACTAGATAAAAATTTAGCTTAGTGAGAAGCTTTGGACTGTATAATTTGAGAAGAAGTTGGACATATTTCTCATCGTAAGCATTTTTGTTACTGCAGTTGGATTTCAACTTATAATTGGTATTCCACATTGAAACAGCAATGAAAGTTTGGAAAATTAAATGCTTACCTTCCCCATCAAATGTTCCTTGTCCTTTCAGCATTTTTTTCTAAGAGACAAAAAAAAGTAAAAAAAAAAAAAAAAAAGGAAAAGCAAACTATGTATGAATGAGCCAAATAGAAAATACAGCTATTTTAAGTAAAAATACTTTTTTTTAGTCATTACATTAATTAGATTTCCAAGAGCGCACAGAAGCTGAGCCCTGGAGGAGTTCACTCATTTGATCACTACAATTCACTGAAACAATGAAATAAAATGTACAAGATCCCCCACACCCTGTCAAAACAGATTGAGAATCCTCAAATAACTAGCAGGTCAGCTCATTTTACAACTCGTGATTCACCATCACTGTTAAATTGAACTTTGCTATACTTGCAGAGTTGGAAAAAACACATAAAATGTTATGTAATTTATTTTCTTTAAGACCACGGGCTCTAAAATAAAACAGGCTTGCTTGTGTTTTGCATATGTGCCATTTATATAGACTGGTTCCAGTGCTCTGATTAACCAAGAAAAAATGTGGCTGCCAAAAAGAATCTGCCTTATTGCTGAAACCTGTGTTGTTTCTGTGGAAGGAAGCACACACTCCAAAATACCCCTCTTCAGTTTTCCCTGTTTCTTTATGTCATATTTGACAATATTTTAATAAGTGCAGCTAATGGGACAATATAGGGGAGCAATACCACACAGTGTCCACCCTAACCTTAAGTTTTCAGCTGCCAATCTGTTACATGCACTCAAGGATGAATGGGCATACAACGGGAATAAAACACAACCAAAGGCCACGGTGACAAAAACAAGCAACAAAAAAGATGACAAAATATTTATGTCTTTTGTGATCCTGGCAACTGATTTTCAAATTCACATTCTACCTGAATGACATCAAGTGCGTAGTAACCACTCAAAATTCAGTAAGTAAAAGCAAAAAATAATCAACAGGCTCAAACAGGAATCAGTATTTTTCTGAATCAGCTGTGATAACAGCTATCATTGACTGAAACCTCTAAGCAAACTCCAGACAACTTGACTGCAGAGTGCGGTTCTGAACATGCTCCTCCCCCTTTCAGCTATCTCTTTTAAAAGTGGTAAAGACTCACTCAGCCAATAATCTGCCATATTTCACTCTTGTCCCCCCCAATTCTGCCTGAGCTTAGAAATTTAAAAGTGATGAATTTCACTTCTTCCCACAAAGTTGCACTAAACTCGGCTGTGCCTGCCAGCATCAAAGTGGCCAAGAGCTGGATGTACACTAGCAATCAAGAGCAAAACACAGAATTAAAACGGAATGACTTCTTCGGGTTTCCTCTACGCTCCTCCTCCCCACTCCCAACACATTTACTTTCCGCTTAGTGAATGGCGTGCCACACTCCTGCCCACTTTTACCTTTATCCTTCCCAGACTGGAAAACTTCTCCTTGTCTTCCATCACCACTTTCAGAACAGGCTGGGACATTCTGTTCTTCTTCTTCGAGCTGGTAGGACTGTCAAAATCAAAGCCACTGACCACTGCCCTGCGATAAGACGTGGACCGCAAGCCTCTCCGCAGAGACCCTGGGCTATCCACGTCGTTATCGACCTCACTCTCCTCCCCTGCGTGACCCAGGGGTCCTCCTAGGCCCTCCACCATGCTGCGCACCTTGAGGAGTCTCTTGTGGGGCTCCACATTTTGATTGTTGGATTTACTTATTTTAATTTCCGAGGCCAGACTCTTCGGAATGATCTGCTGCTTCCCCACTTTGAGGGCGGCGGGGCTGTTTGTACTCAAAACCACGGAAGGATTCTCGAGGAGCTCGTTCTCCTGGGAGGGCAGCCTTTGGAGGGGGAGTTTTTGTTCCGAAGAACTTTTCTGGGGCCCAGGAAAGAGCCCCCGTTCGGGGTCCTTTGCCTTCCGGCCGGACTGCGAACCTGACCCAGGAGAGTCGTTATTAGCGGCAAGGCCATTTGCAGTGGGCGAAGGCACCGGGCTGGCAGTCAACCCAGTAAGGTCCTCCTCGGGGGTGCAGGGGGCGGGCGCGTTAGGAGTCCGCGGGGGGCGCAGAACCGGCGGCGGCGGCGGCGCAGGCAAGGTCACCGCGCCATTTGCTGGGGATTTCGGGGAGCCGCCAGGCACCGCTTTGGGGAGCTTGGGTGACTTGGGCCGTCGAAGTCGAGGAGAGGCAGCCCTGTACTCCGGGGATGCCGTCCCACCATTGGCCACCGCTCTCCGCTGGGCGCCCAGAAGCAGGGGGCTCCTATGTACCGTCCTGCTGTCCGAGGCGGTGGGCACCTGGGCGGGAATCTGCGCTGCGAGGAGCGTCCCTCCGTCCTCCACCGGGAAATCCGTAATTAGTAACCCGTTGGGGCTCTGGTAGGACTGGGGCCTCGGCTTGCTCCGGCCCAGAACCTGGTGGGGCTGAGGAATCGACCGCCTCCGCCACAAAGGGGTTATGCTGTTGCTAGAAAAATCCACCTCGCTCTCGCCGTCCATAGCCGGGCCTCGAAGTCAGCGCCGGGAGGAGCAACACCGAGTTAGTCTTGCCTAAAGAGGAAAGAAGTTAGGAAACTGTGCCTCTGGACAACCGGGGACGCCTGGCCGACTCGCGTGCTCCCAGACCGGCGGTCCCCCTGCTGCTGCGCAGGACACGACTGCACCGCACTTACCCGCCCTTTCTCGGGCAAAAACTGCACCACTGCGGTGCGCGGTTCCCGGCAGAAATCTGGGCTGCCGCCCAGGCGGATTAATCCAATCACCTCCGCGTCCCTCCCGCGCCAAAAGACCACCCGCAGCAAATGAGCCCGCCACCCATTCACTGAGTGCAAGCCGAGGCACAAGAAACTTGGGACGAGTTCAGCTTTCTTGGGAAACTCGCCGCGGGACGCTCCCTTCTGTCGCCATCCAGCCTCCCGCCCTCATCATGGGTACCCTCGCGCTCCAGGTGCGCGGCTCCCACGCAAATTTACCTTCTGGGGCTTGCAATGTCCGGGGCCGAGGAGCACCCACTACCCCGTGGGTGGCCCGGGTCCGGGACCGAAGCGCAGCCGCGAGAGCTTAGGAGAGCGCTGCCGCCGACCGCGGCGCCGGCGCCGGCCCGCCCCCACGCCTGACTACGCCCCCACACTTGGCCCCGCCCCCGTTTCGGCCCCGCCCAGATCCGCCTCCATCGCAGCCAGAAGCAAGAAGCTGTCTTCCCGCCCCCGCGTGCCTACAATCAGCCCCAGTCTCCCTGGGAAACCGACGAGCGCACCTGAGCTGGGTTCTGAGCTCCAGCGTTTTGGGGCTAGAAGTTGCGGACTAGTAGCTGAGGCGGCACGGGAGTGTAGGCGCGCGGGGTCGTTGCCGGGGGCACAGAGTGAGAACAAGCAAGGGAGCCCTGCTGAATTGCAGCTTAGGAAGCCCTGAATCCTGGAGGTGCGTTGAAACCGAGAACGCGCGGCGTAGTAGACTTTGTGAGATGCGTGGGCAGTAGCGCAGAGTTCTAACGCAGAGTCATGCCCTCTCAGCATTCAGGTGGTCTTAAATCAGATGGGCTCGTCCCAGTGCTGAAAATGCATTATAATATAAACAGATAGATGGGCTTGTTTGTGCCTAGAGTCTTTCCGTAGGAAAGACTGGCAGCTCTGAAGAGGGAAACTGGGTGGCTAGGAAACCGGAGGGAGGGAGAGTTTTCATATAATTATTTTTGGTCCTTGTATGCTTTGCATCTTGAAACCTATCTGTGAAAAATAAGCTCAATTTACACTACAAAAAAAGTATTGGTTTCCAACAGTACATAGAATAAAACTCAAAATCCTTAGCATGGCTTACAAGACACTTCACTACTGCCCTACTTCTTCAGCCTAGTCTTTCCTCCATCACTTTCTTCATTATTTTTTTGGCCACACTCAAAGTTTGACAGCCTCATAACCTTCCCTTTCGTTCCTTCTTGACCCGACTTGTCACTGCGTCAGAAAGGCCTTCCCTGTCCCCTCCTTAATTATACCATTGCCCCGTTTATTTTCCCAGCCACTTGTTCTCTTCTATTTTTGCACTTATAAAATTTTGTATATATATATATTTATGTGTTTATGTTTATTGTCTTTTGTCTTTACACAGTAATTTGCATGAGGGCAGGGGTCATGTTTTTTTTTCTTCTCCGTATTTCCGGCACATGGTGGGCACTTAATATTTATTTAATGAGTGAGAGAATGAATGACAGGAATGAAGTGAAAACAGTGACCATTCCTTCCAAAGTGCTTGGTTGTCAAATAGTAGAAAGATGGCTGTGTCTTGGCCAGGCTCCTGCTGTGTGACAATAATGAGGCAAACTTGAGAAGACAAATAATTTTAGACCATAAGAGCTGTATAATTGATTCTATTAGCAAGACAAATGGGCCCTTCTCCAAGTTCTCTTTCTGCATTCATGCATTCAGCAGGGATGCAGTGAGCATCCACTGTGTGCAAGTTATGCTGCCTGTTTTTGCCCTAGATTGAATGCAATGGCCAAAAATATTAAGATGTGATCTCTGGGTGGTGAGATGAAGGATAGTATGTTTCATGCTGCTTTATATTTTTCTATACTTAACGAAATATCCTGGACAATGAAGATATATTACTTTGATCTGAGACATTTTCATAAACAAAGAAAAAAAGAAACGGCATCGAAAAATGTATAAGAAACTTTTTTTTTTTTAGACGGAGTTTTGCTCTTGTTGCCCAGGCTGGAGTCCAATGATGCGATCTCGGCTCACCGCAACCTCCGCCTTCAGGGTTCAAGCAATTCTCCTGCCTCAGCCTCCCGAGTAGCTGGGATTACAGGCATGTACCACCACGCGCGGCTAATTTTGTATTTTTAGTAGAGACAGGGTTTCTCCATGTTGGTCAGGGTGGTCTCGAACTCCCAATTTCAGGTGATCCACCCACCTTGGCCTCCCAAAGTGCTGGGAATTGCAGGTGTGAGCCACCGCTCCTGGCCTAAGAAAATTTTTAAGAAAGAAATTTTCCACATTGGGTGGAAGACATGGCTGATTACATACTCACATGTAGGTACATAGACTTTTTTTTTAATATAAGGTGTTTTCTATACCAACATGTATTGCTGTTATATTGGGGAAATATAATAAATTAATTTCAGAAGTGGTTACCGACTGACAAATGGAGTATTCACCTAATTCAAAATGCAACCTGTGACCTATGTTAAGAAGCTGTAAAAGGTGATGTGAGAAGGTGGCTTTTCTTGAAATTATGTTGCTTCTACAAACAAGTATAACCAATATTTGTGACGACTTCATAGGATCTTCTTACCTCATTTCCAACAGACAACAAAATACCTACCAAAACAACAACAAAACACCAAGCTCTGGTCCTTCACTGAGGGAAGTTTACAAACTCACAGACCTAGTGCCTATTCAATTTATTGTTATCTATTCAAATCTAACCTATCTTCAATTATATGTTCCACTCAAAAGAAAGGAAAAGAGCTGCTAATAAAACTATGACAATATGTTATGTCATATCGAATTTTTACTTTATACTTAGTGCTTTTAGACACTTATACATAGATTTGCTTAGTACTGTGTGTATGTAGGAAAGGAAAATATAAGCAAAATGAATTTACCAAAGTCCCGAACATTGAGCCTGATTCTTCTGAATACCTTTTCATGAAAAGCATTCATGTGTGTTTTTCCACACAATATTGTTGATAGTGCACCATTTCTTAAAAGGATGTTCCAATCTTGTTTCTGGGATTTGCCTCCTAGACAATGACACTCATTCTGCAGTTGTGATGCTGGCACTATCCCATTTGACTAAACACATAGTTTTCTTGTTCAACTGAATTGTATGTCACTACAAGCTATGCAGCTTCTCTATTAATGGCCAGGAGAAAGTTTCTCACAAATGGTAGTTTCATGCCTTAACCATAGTCCTGCATGATACATGAATTGGTTATATCAACCTCTCTTTGCTTTAGAATTTCTTTCACCTAATCTGTCATATCTGGTAATTTCTCCTGCCTTCAACTATGTTTCTTGGCATATGGCTTTGACACAACAGGACTAAATTTCATAGAATTTAGTAGAAATGATAACAATTCATTTATGCCCATGTTCAAAAATAGGCAATGCCAACTATATCATCACTATCACCTGGCCACTGGATGTTTATTTGATAGTAAGACACATCCCAGTTTCAAAGAAATTAAAATGTGGTACCAAATTATTCTTAAAATTGAAGAAATACAGTATGTCAAACTATTTGTAATGATATTTTCCGCTGGTATATTCCAATGGTATATTGAACTATTAGAATATTCAATGGTACAACGCAAGATATATATGGCTACATTTACTAAACAAATTCACATTGGTCACAAATTTTGTGTCCCAAGCACAATAATTTGGCTAATTTTTAAATGCAAATTGTTAGCTAGTCTTATTACAATATATGTCCAATTTTCCAGTATTTCCCATCCCGTGTACCTTTTGTTTATTTATACATTCAACAACTATTTATTGGGTGCATTCAAGTGCCAAGCATTAAGACAAACATTCCTGAACCTTACAGTTTGGCTCATGAAACATGACTGAAACATTAAAATAAAAGACACCCAAACTGTGTAAGATGCATAGTAAGCTCTCTGTTCTATGGAAACCTTTGTGAAGGAGTCTGGATAAAACTGGCCCAGAAGGGTAGATAAAGTATTGCAAGGTGGAGAAGCGGACAATGATGTCACAGAAAGATTTCCCAGGATAAGCAAAAACATGGAGGGATGGCTGGAGAACTGATATTCATTAAGTGCCAACTGTATTTTAAGCTTTGTTGTTTGTTACACATAACTTAATCTCACATTAGTTCTGAGCCCACTTAAATATGAAGCTGAAGCCCAAAAAGCTCTTCTCATACTGTTGATAATTGGTTGAGTCAGAATCCTAAACTTTTTCTTTACAATACTCCAGAGCCCATGCATCAAAACATACAAGAAACTAAGCTCACCAAAACACAGTTTGCTTTTAGAAGTTGTGGGATGTTAATTTGGCTGAATATGGTGAGAATAGAATGTGGTATGCAACAGAGACTGAGGGATTGAGATTTTACCTGAATGACAACTAACTACTCTGATATGATTTGGCAGTTTGGCTCTGTGTCCCCATCCAAATCTCATCTCAAATTGTAATCCCCATGTGTTCATGGAGGGAGGTGATTGGGTCATGGGGGCAGTTTCCTCCATGCTGTTCTCATGATAGTGAGTGAGTTCTCATGAGATCTGATGGTTTTATAAGCGTCTAGCATTTCCCCTGCTTGCACTTCTCTCTCTTGCCACCATGTGAAGAAGGTTCTTGCCTCCTCTTCACTTTCTGCCATGAGCGTAAGTTTCCCGATGCTTCCCCAGCCATATGGAACTGTGAGTCAATTGAGCCTCTTTCCTTTACAAATTACCTAGTCTCAGGTAGTATCTTTATAGCAGTGTGAAAATGGACTAATACATACTCCTTGAAGAGATTTAAACTTTGCCATCTTCTAAAAAATGAATATGATGACACCAGTGTCAGAAATAAAAAACAAAACATTGACAGATTTGACAATTTAAACATTTTAACCTTTGTGCATTAAGAAAAGCCACATAAACCCATACATTTTGAGGGAAATCTTCTCTTAGAAGGAAATTAGAGAAAAATATTTAAATATATATAAAATATAAATATAAATAGGTTTGTGTATGATATAGCCATTTAACACTTTGTCATATATATTTAAATATTTATATGTTGTATATTAAATATATATATTATATATTGAAATATATAAATATATATGACAAAGTGTTAAGTGGCTGTATCATACAATCAATAAGAATAAGATAACGAAAGTTGTAAAATGAACAGAGTAAGAATAAGCATTTTGGAGAAGACATGAATGTCCACTATACATCAAAATATACTCAATCTCAATAATAAAAACAAAATTTAAGAATTAGTGAGATAGTTTTTCATTTATTAGATAAGCAAAGATTGTCTTTTTTTTTTTTTTTTTTAGATGGAGACTTACTCTGTTCCCCAGGCTGGAGTGCAGTGGCGTGATCCTGGCTCACTGCAACCTCCACCTCCTGGGTACAAGCAATTCTCTGCCTCAGCCTCCCAAGTAGCTGGGATTACAGGCGCCCACCACCATACTCGGCTAATTTTTATATTTTTAGTAGAGACGGGGTTTCACCATCTTGGCCAGGCTGGTCTTGAACTCCTGACCTCATGATCCACCCGCCTCAGCCTCCCGAAGTGCTGGGATTACAGGCATGAGCCAGGGTGCCCAGCCAAGATTGTCTTTTAAAAAGGCAATACCCACTGTTGGTAAAAGCACAGGCAAAAGAGAATTCTGAATCATTCATGGTAAGAATGTAAATTGGTACCTCTTTCTGGAGAGCAATTAGATGATTCTTAACCAAACCTTTTGTTATGGTGGCCAAAAGTTAGCAACAGGCTAAGTGTCAGCAAGGGACTGGCTAACAAACCATGATGTGCAATGCAACCACCAAAAATAATTATGCAAAATTATAATTATACAAAAATTCAAAATATGTAATTAAAGTTTTTTTAGAAAACTGTTTTAATACACACTATGCAAAATATCCTACTTTGAGTTTTACAAACTGCAAATAGCTATATGTAAAACTGTTTGTAAATATATAAAACGTATTTGTGTATATATGTAATGCCTAGATTTTGAGTATTCACCAAAATGTTGTCATGTCTACTCTGCACAGCTGGATTAATGGTGATATTTAGGTATGTTTTGCTGTGAAACAAACCACCCCAACACTTAGTGACGTAAAATAGCAACTTCTATTATTTGTTATTTTTTCACCATTTTGTGGGCTGGCCTGGCAGTTCTTCAGTAGGTCTCACCTAGGTTTTCTAGTGTGGCAGCAGGCAGCCAGCTGTGGGGTTGTCTGGGTCGGGAGGACAAAGCCCCCTCACATGCCTCACAGCTGGTTGATGCTGGCTGTTATTTGAGGCTCCTATTCTCCCTTTCTCAAATCTTCAATGTTCTGAACAGGAATCCCCATGATTCCTGAGACAATGGAGTGGTAAGTCAAAATGACAAAGAAAATTCTGGAGAGGATACTTGAAAAGGAGGTTTTGAAAATTGACTAGATCTCTTTGGGAAAAGAGTTCTGAAAAGGAGACTTTCTACGACACTTATTAATGATTTATATATTATCTTACATGTTAACATTTTGTGAGCACTTACAGTATACAGACCCTCTTTGAAGTGCTTCAACTGTATTATATAATTTAATCCTCACAACAACCTTATGAGGTAGGAACTACTACTGTAATCCATTTATACACAAGAAAATTAAGTATAGCACAGAGAGGTTAAGAAGCCATGCATCCTGGCTCATAATTATTACACTATATTGTTACATGGTTTGTGATTCCATTATGCATTTATATTTTTCACAAATAATATATAAACACCCCAACGTCAGGCTGGTTCTTTATCTCCAGTATTGCTTCAGTAATGGACAGGTTGATCAATTGGTGAAAATGCCCAAAGTTATAAAGAAAAAGAGGTGGAGGAAGGGATGTCATGCAAGTGGGAAGAAAGCCACAAAAGCCTGAGAAAGGAAGTTTCCAAAAGGAAAGTCAGATCAGCAGCTCCTGGTTGGTACCTGGCCCTAGGCTACCAATAGGTACAGTGGTGAAGAAAATAGGCACATAATCCTTACCATGGTATATCGGGAAAGACTAACCTTAGATAGCATTGAATGCTAAAGATGCTGCTCACTTAGTGCCCTTGCAACTGGTACCTTCAGTCTTGGTGGGCACTGAACCCAACTGGCTGGGCTTATGGAGAAGGCAAGTAGAAAACAGTCTAGGAACTTAACTGCAACTGTGGGAATTGTGACAGTAAAACGAAGGAGAAAAATAGGGCAGTAGATGGAGGATAAGGGAGAAATAAACAGTTTTAGTTTCAAGACTGAGGACACTTGGCTAGACATTAGGAAGCTGGGTTTGAGTTTGTGTTTACCACTTTTGAACTGTGGGAATGAAGACAAGTCATTTAATCTCTAAGACCACAGTTTCTTCAGCTGCAACATGAAGTTGTTCCTCCTCGCTAGCACAGTTTGGGAAGCACTGGTATAGATTAGAATAATTTGGATGTGGCCGGTCTAATGGTTGGAGGAAAGTAGGACGTGGAAATGGAGATGGGGACAAAGAGTAGGGGAGACCTGGCCAGATAAGTGCACAAAAAACTGAATTCTAATTTATTTCCCCCCTCTTGAACAGCAAATAATTAGAATAAAATTTTGTTATTTTTAACTCCATGTTAAAGAATAAAGATCATAATGAGAAAAGGGTTAGGACTTGTTGAAAGTGACTCCGAGGACTCTGCATGGCCAGATGGAAGGGAAATGGCAAGAAGACTTCACCAAGTGGAGAAGGGCTTCTTTCTTGCTCCCAGCCCTTGCCTGCAGCATCCAATCTGTTCACCCACAACAGCAGTGAGAATGATTCAAACGTGATGCATTGAACCTCCAGTGACACCATGTTTTGAAGGGGAAGGTCCCCGTTTAACTAGAGTAATTAAGATCCCAGGTAAACCATGAGGTCAGAGTGAAGAGTGGCTCCCACAACTGGCAGCCACCAAGAGCTGTTAGCTTTTGTTCTTTGAATTGTAGGAATGAGATAAGCAATTGAGCAGCCACTTTGTTCAACGTGTTCTAGTATGAGCTCACTGTATGCCTTGTACGGACGCTTTACCTCTCTAAACAGTGATTTCCTTGTTGCTTTGTTTTTTGTTTTGTGTTTGCTGTAAAATATTTAATACATGCATGTAGTAAAAATTGGGACTGCACAAAAGTAAAAAAAATCTCTGTCACTCTTGTCTCTAGTTTCCAAGTTGGCCCGCTAGAGGCGTCCACTGTTAACAGTTTGTTGTATTTTATAAATTTTCAGATGTATGGTAGACATTAGTAAACATATATATCCCTACACATACTACACACTGGCACCCTATAACACTCCTCTGTTCCTTACAAATTACCTTAAATACAATTCATTTAATGCCGGTACTTATAGAACTACCATATATTTTTAATAGCTGTAGAGCATTAGGTAGATCAAATAAAATTGCCATTTTTATGAGTCAAAAGCAATCAAATATCAGGAATTTCATATGGTTTCACCTAATATTACATAATTCATTAGCAAGTTTCCTATTAACAGACATTTAAATTATTTATTCGCAAAATCTGAGCACCAATGGAAAAACTGTAAAATTCCTTCCAGCTCTTCATTTCTGTAATTCTTTGCTTTGTTCCCATCCCTGAATGCCTGGAAGATGTAAGATAGTAAAAGAGAATACTTTATTGAACAAAGATGCAGGTGTTATTTAATTTCGTTATGTTTAATTTAGAGTCTGCTCTTAATGCTGTCTTAATGGTGAAATCATCGTGCATCAACATGCTCTAAGCAGGGTTCTGGTACTTTCTGGGGAAATTGGGTTGAGGTGCTATTATCACTATTACTATTCTTTTGATGATTATTTCTCTCTTTTGTGTCCTTTCCGGGATCCTGCTCCTTCTGTGGATTAACAAGACAGCATGTAGAATCACAGCTCTTGTTTCATGAAGTTTGTTAAGTAATTTGAACAAAGGTGTGTTACACTATTCCTTTTGTACAACCAGTTTAATGTTTGCAAAAGAACTCAAGATTTAAAAAACAAATCTGTTGTGTCCACTCCAGTTTCCAGGTAAATTTATATCAGGAATCACATGAGGATACTTAAGACTGGCCGGTACTTTCAAGTTTTCTCCTGCCCAGATCTGTTTGGAAGAAATCTAGTCTTATCTACCTCAAAAGTCCAGCAGAGAATAATAGCTGAAATAAATGAAGCCTGTGATTACTTAGTTCTGTGTTTACCTAGACATTCTGGCATTTGGCTCAAAAGACAAAGCTTTTTAGATGTGCTATTTGAACCTGGTTTTGCTATAGATTTTAAATTGGAAGAAAAAATGGTAACAAAGTGAAGCTCTCTAAATCATACACATTTGGGCTGACTACCAAGCTCGTCTCACCCAGCAGTACTAATAGAATGTGAAAAATGCTTTCCAGAGATGAGGTCTGCCACCTAGCAACCGCTTTGAAATGCCTCCTGCACTGACCCAAGGCTACTCAAAATGCCCAGTTTTGAAATTGGTGGGACATTTTGCTGTGTATGGGCCACAGTCATTGAAAGGAGGATTAGAACTTTGTTTTTCAGGCCAAAGACATGCAGATTAGAAGGATTGTTTAATTTAACTGCTCAACTGGTTTGGAAATAGAACTGGCAGATTAAATATAGATGAAAGATGATTACATCGGATATACGCTAAAAAAAAATCACTCATTGTTTATCTGAAATTGAAATTGAACTAAGCATCCCGTATTTTTATTTGTTAAAACTGGCAATCAAATTTTGGAGAGACTTTTTTAGTACAGAGGTGAGGGATATTTGTAAAATATGCACTGTAAATATTAACTTGATCCCCCAAGGCTCATAACGTTGTAGACCTAGACACCTTTCTCAGAGCACTGGCTTGTGCCTGTGAAGAAGCCTGAAGCATAGGAGACCAAAGGTGTGGGTAGGGCAGAAACTAACTAACAGAAGACAAGAAATTGCTTCAAGTTTGCACTCAGGAAAGCTATGCTGAATGTAGGACAGGCAAACGAAGGGGTTGAGCACAGAAGGGCAGTGACATCCCCCAGGCAGAATGGTGGGTGGTGAGGAGAGGGAAGTGCCCAGAAATGAGAAGGAAGTGGACGTGGCACGACATCAGCAGTCATTTTATATTTGGGGGAGAAGGGGTGAAGTGAAGCCAGCTACATCAATGTTCACTGTGAAGCCTGGGCTGAGGTGGGAGGGGTGTAGCCTGGGATCCACTGGAGGGCA